>NC_000001.11:68341713-68644744 GCF_000001405.40 Homo sapiens
ATGTAATACAAGTTTTATGTGACACAGGAACTTTCAGAAATGAAAACCCAAAGACACAAGGAAACAGATTTTTATACTAAGTTTGATGAAGAAATGGACAGTTGTGGTGAAGTATCGGACAAAGGGGGTATGATGTAATGGTAACAAACTGGGGAAACTTAACAAGGTCTGTTTGTTCAGATTATTCTCTATCTCTTCAGAGGTAGAGTAGTTCCTTTTCTCTGGACATTAGGAGGATACCCCTGGAATGAGGATCTTATCACCTGCTTTGGGGAAAGGTGAGGAGAAAATGAGAGACTTTCCTGCTTCTGCTGTTTTCTCAGATACCAAGCTGCTATACCTTGGGGTAATGTGTCCTGAACCCATCAGAATCATATAAATGGCAAGGATGGGATTTAAAGCACATCAGCCGGGTGCGGTGGTTCACGCCTGTAATCCCAGCACTTTGGGAGGCCGAGGCGGACAGATCACGAGGTCGGGAGATCGAGACCATCCTGGCCAACATGGTGAAACCCCGTCTCTACTAAAAATACAAAAATTAACTGGGCGTGGTGGCACACGCCTGTAATCCCAGCTACTCAGGAAGCTGAGGCAGGAGAATCGCTTGAACCAGGGAGTCGGGGGTTGCAGTGAGCAGAGATCACGCCACTGAACTCCAGCCTGGTGACAGAGCGACTTTGTCAAAAAAACAAAACAAAAACAAAAACAAAAACACAAAAGCACATCTGTGTTCAAAAACACCATATTCTTCCCAGGATCCTACACTGCCTGTAGCATTGGGAGACACAGTTCAGAAACCCAGCTCACACTCATTTTACAAAGCAATAAATTGAGGATCAGAGAAATTAATGTGATTGCCACATATTAAAAGCCTGTATCCCACATTTCCATTAGTATCTGATGAGGCATGAGGTGTTGTTTCTGAGGCAGCATCAGATCCTCCAGAGGGTGGCTTGGTGTTGACCTGGGTCACCTGAAGGTCTCTACTGGAGCATGGTAGATGGGCTGGAGTCAGCTGTCCCCTGGAATCGTAGTTTATTCTCTGGGCTTGAGGCAAATCAAAGAGTCTCCTTGGCACAATAGTGCTGGGGACTTGGCTGCTGCCAGGTGGAATGTTCTGTTTGTTTTGGTCCAGAATCAGCCTGAGGGCGAATCCTTCCTGGAAAAGATGAAGGTGCAGATGGGGAGTGGCCAAGCACACCATGTGGCAATCCTGCCAGCTAGTGGCCACATACGGAATGGGCCTAAACCCACCCAAGATGCGACAGGCCGGGGACTTAAATACTCAGGTTGGCTTGGAGTCAGAGGGCACAAGCTTCCTCACCTAGCTCTAGGCAGGAACGGGGCGGGGAGACCTGGAGAGATGAAATGATGTGTTCAAGGTATTGACAAAATCAGGATTAGAATCTGGTCTGTTACATCGCAACTCTTTTTAGTCATTTATTAAGAATGTTAAGGAACAATCACAAATAGGCTATCATGAGCAAAGTTATTTCTATTTCTCACAGTAATTCTCCAGTGAAGATACTTTTTTTTTTTTGAGACGGAGTCTGGCTCTGTCGCCCAGGCTGGAGTGCAGTGGCGCGATCTCGGCTCACTGCAAGCTCCGCCTCCCGGGTTCACACCATTCTCCTGCCTCAGCCACCCGAGTAGCAGGGACTACAGGCACCCGCCACCAAGCCCGGCTAAATTTTTTGTATTGTTTTAGTAGAGACGGGGTTTCACTGCGTTAGCCAGGATGGTCTCGATCTCCTGACCTCGTGATCCGCCCGCCTCGACTTCCCAAAGTGCTGGGATTACAGGCGTGAGCCGCCGTGCCCGGCCGAAGATACTTTCTTATGACTACTTTAGATTACTTTTTCCAGGTTGCATGCCTCTTTGGTAATGATATTGGGATCTACCAACAATAAGTAGGGTTCCCTCAAGCCGAAGTATCAAGTTCTCAGAATATACTGGTAGATATAAAAGATTTTAATCCCTGTCAAATGTTTTCCAAACACTATATAGACAATATATGTTTTTTGATAAATACACAATGAAATACAAGATCGTTTCGACCATAGCTAAAATTAACTTAAGTTAAAAAATTAAGGCCAGGCTCAGTGGCTCATACCTGTAATCCCAGTACTTCGGGAGGCTGAGGTGGGCGGATCACCTGAGGTCAGGAGTTCGAGACCGGCCTGGCCAACATTGTGATACCCTGTCTCTACTAAAAATACGAAAATTAGCCGGGCGTGGTGGCAGGCACCTGTAATCCCAGCTACAAGGGAGGCTGAGACAGAAGAATCGCTTGAACCCGGGAAGTAGAGGTTGCAGGGAGTGAGCTGAGATCATGCTACTGCACTCCAGCCTGGCTGACAGAGCGAGACTCCATCTAAAAAAAAAAAAAAAGTTAAAAGCCAACATGGAAGAAGTGGCATCGACAGACATTGAAGGACTGTTAGGATTTCAAAAGGTTAGTGATCTTATAATAAAAGGCACCCAGGAAGAGTTAACTGCATGAGGAAAAGTGTGAGAGCGATTGGGGAAACGGAATAATCCATTTTGACCAGATATTGTAATACTGGGAGCAAGGCAAAGAGAGTAAGACCTCTAGAAAGCCTACTGCATTTAGCAATAAGGAATGACTGGTAGTCTAAAAAGACCTGATTCAAATGAGTGACGAGTAATGTTCCCAGGAGTACTTCCTCATTCCATGGGATGTTAACAGGTATTTGGCAGAAAAATGATTCCATGATTAAATATGCTGGGGAAATATTTAATTAAATTAACGCAGTCTATTATTGTACTTCTCTGGACTTTCAGTTTGCAGATATGCATTGCATTGTGGAAAACAATTCTGAACAGCTGTTGATGTTTTAGGGAACCAGTGTTTTATAAATGGAATTTTGAAAATATTCCACTAAATATTTTGCCCTTACTTAGTTTTTACGTTTTCCTGATGAAAGAGATCTGAATATACTTAAAGGTAGAAAAGAAGGATTCAGAAAAAAGAGTGTGACGATTCAGAAGAAAGGAAATACAGTAATTCTTATAAGGATCAAATCTTATTATGTAAAGGGTTGTTTTTCTAAAAGATAAAATATATGGGAATATGCTTATTAGGAATTTTCTAAAAGCTGCATTTAGAGTATGTTACGTTCCATGTAAGGCAGAAGGGAAAATGAAATATACATATATTTGCCTATATTTACATGAAGAAACAGAATGTATAAATCATAAAACAATAAACCTGGTTATCTACAAGGGATTGTTGGGGGTGGAGATGAATGAGGTAGAGGGAATATAGAAGGATGTGACACTTTTGTGTCTACTTTTTTTGTATTGTTTTGACTTTTGAAAGCACTTAATTTAATTAATTTATTTTAAAATATTTATTTATTTATTTATTTTTGAGACAGAGTCTCACTCTGTTGCCCAGGCTGGAGTTCAGTGGCGCCATCCTGGCTCACTGCAACTTTGGCCTCCTGGGTTTAAGCAATTCTCCTGACTCAGCCTCCTGAGTAGCTGGGATTACAGGCACCCACAACCACACCTGGCTAATTTTTTTATTTTTAGTAGAGACGGGGTTTCACCATGTTGGCCAGGTTGGTCTTGAACTTCCTGACCTCAAGTGATCCACCCACCTTGGCCTCCCAAAGTGCTGGGATTACAGGCGTGAATCACCACACCCGGCCCTGTTTCTAATATTGCAGGAAAAGTTATAAGTATTTCAAAATGAATCAGCTTGAAAAACAAAAATCCTAATTCTTTAAAACAAACAACACTGTTTATTCAGCCAATTATAATATGTCGTTGATTTGGCAAAGGTAAACAAAATTAATTTAGAAAAAAAGAAGAAATCTAATTTCTAAGATGACTAGCAAGTCTGAAGCAATCTATTTTCAACTAGGAAATACAAAAGAAACCTACAACTAGTTGTCTTGTTAAATGAGAAGTGATAATTAATGTTTAGAGTCAAAGCACAAACATCCTCCAACTGCTGTTTTCATGGCATGATATCTTTGGCAAGGCTTTTGCTTCCCTCTTAATTGTGCATTATATATTTGGAGCATTTCTTATTGTATTAAACACCTTTTGGGTGCTTCTCACCTATCTTTGAGGTCTTTGGCCTCTTGTTCCAGCCCCAGCTGTGGAGCAACCTGCTGTGCATGAAGTGGGATCAGTTCCACCGGAGAACAACCTGACATCTCTTTGCCTTATGTCCTCTCTGCATATGTTTCACCTTCTGTTCTGTAGAGACTGAGGTGTGAGACCTCAAGGACATGCTTAGTGTCAATATATGTGCAACTTAATCATATGAGAGGAATTTATATCTTCCTGGGTGAAGACTGAGCCAGTCTGGATGGACTGTTCTATGAAGCAGTTTTTTACATGGCCTGTTGGTGAAAGGCACTGTAAGATCAAGGAATCAGTAGTTTTTAATACCAAGAGATGACCAGCTCAGTAATATGTATTCTTGTATCAGCTCTTACATTTCCCCTGCCTCACTCTCCTTTTCCCTCACTCTTGCTTCCTGGGATTGCATCCTATAATAAAGTAGTAGCACGTAAACTTTGTCTCAGGCACTGCTTTCTGGAGAATCCAGATTAAGACAGTTGTTCAATGATTGTTGAAAGGTATGGGAAAATCAAAGATACTTGTTTTGTGTTTTTATTTTGAGGCTTAGCACCCCCTAGTGGAATTTATTTTTCACTTTCATTCATACCGAGAGCCCCCAAAAGGTTTCTTGTGTACCATTAAGTCTTCTCAGGCAGAAATAGGTCTGGCTAAAACACCAGGAGATAAAGAAGGCTGCATATAGATGCCAGAGTCATTACATATCTCTATTAATACCTGGAGGAGTCCGTAACACAATGAAAAAACTAAGACTAACTCAATCCACATCATGTAATGTGAATGAAATATAAGTAAAAAAAAAAAATCAATTCTGATTGTTTTATAGCAATTCATCTGTTGGACTTTCCAGAGAACCTTCATGAGAAAACAGATTTTCTTGAATGTGTCTGATGTTGCTTTTGCCCCATGCAGTCTGTGTTTTTGTGTCAAGCAGGTTGTTACTGGTAGCCCATAGTCTTGACCTCTGCCAGTGCTCGGAGCTCATTTCAAGTACCCCATCTTTATCAATGAGGATTTCATCTTCTTAAATGTCCACCACATTGAGCCTGTTGTTAATCTCAGAAATTGTGTTCAGCTGTAAGAGATAATTTTATGTTGTTTTTGCTGCCCAATATCCATTTATCCTTTTTGTGGCAATGGTAGCTGATTCTTTGTTGGGATATGTAATCCTCCTCCACTTTCATCCATAAACTTTTTTTTTTCTTTTTCTTTTTTTTTTTTTTTTTTTTTTTTTTTTTTTTTTTTTAGACAGGGTCTCGCTCTGTCACCCAGGCTGGAGTGCAATGGTGTGGTCTCGGCTCACTGCAACCTCCTGCTCTCGGGCTCAAGCACTTCTCCTGCCTCAGCCTCCCGAGTAACTGGGATTACAGGTGCCTGCCACTGCGCCCGGCTAATTTTTGTATATATATATTTTTAGTAGAGACGGGATTTCACCATGTTGGCCAGGCTGGTCTCGAACTCCTGACCTCGTGATCCGCCTGCCTTAACCTCCCAAAGTGCTGGGATTACAGGTGTGAGCCACTGCGCCCAGCCCTCATCCATAAACTTCTTTTTGAAAATGCCTTAAGTTCAGGGTCCGGGGTATAATTAGCATATTTCATCACCACAGTGAATAGTTCAGGATTGAGCATATACCCAAATTGAGACTATAAATGCTGAGGATATTTGGTTTTGCATTTTTTTGTTTGACATTTTGAGAAGAGACTTTCCTCTTTCACTGAACTAGTTCTTGTGATGATGTGAGCCTGCTGCCACCGGAAGCCACCTTGCAAAGTCTGAGAATGCAACCAACATAGAGGAAGTAGAACTGAGAAGTGAAGCCAGCTGGACTTCCTGGGCCAAGTGGGGACTTGGAGAACTTTTAAAAAAATTATTATTATTATACTTTAAGTTCTAGAGTACATGTGCACAATGTGCAGATTTGTTACATATGTATACATGTGCCATGTTGGTGTGCTGCACCTATTAACTCGTCATTTACATTAGGTATATCTCCTAATGCTATCCCTTCCCCCTCCCCCCACCCCACAACAGGCCCCGGTGTGTGATGTTCCCCACCCTGTGTCCAAGTGTTCTCATTGTTCAATTCCCACCTATGAGTGAGAACATGCGGTGTTTAGTTTTGTCCTTGTGATAGTTTGCTCAGAATGATGATTTCCAGCTACATCCATGTCCCTACAAAGGACATGAACTCATCCTTTTTTATGGCTGCATAGTATTCCATGGTGTATATGTGCTACATTTTGTTAATCCAGTGTATCATTGATGGACATTTGGGTTGGTAACTTGGAGAACATTCCTGTCTTACAAGAGGATTGTAAAACGCACCAATCAGCACTCTGTAGCTAGAATTGTAAAATGCACCAATCAGCACTCTGTAGCTCGCAAGGGGATTGTAAAATGCATCAATCAGCGCTCTGTAAAAACATACCAAACAGTGTTCTGTAGCTAGCAAGAGGATTGTAAAATGCACCAATCCGTGCTCTGTAGCTAGCAAGAGGATTGTAAAATGCAACAATCAGCACTCTGTAAAATGCACCAATCAACACTCTGTAAAATGCACCGATCAGCAAGATCCTAAAAGTAGCCAAATGCAGGGAGTATTGAAAAAAGGGCACTCTGATAGGACAGAAATGGAACATGGGCGGGGCCAATAAGGGAATAAAAGCTGGTCACCCCAGCCAGCAGCAACAACCTGTTCGGGTCCCCTTCCATGCTGTAGAAGCTTTGTTCTTTCGCTCTTCACAATAAATCTTGCTGCTGCTCACTCTTTGGGTCTGTGTCATCTTTAAGAGCTGTAACACTCACCGTGAAGGTCCGCAACTTCATTCTTGAAGTCAGTGAGACCATGAACCCACCAACAGGAACCAACTCTGGACACAGAACTAAGGAATGGCTCCTGGAGGCATCATTTTATTCCAGAATGAGGCCACTGCTGAAGTCAGCCCTTTTTGTATATTTTACAATTACATTAGCCAATAACTTCCCTTCTTTGTTTAAGCTAGATTGAGTTGGGCTTTTTAATCACTTTCAACTAAAAGATTCCTAACTGGTAAACTGTTCAATTCTGAACTTATAGCCTTGTTCCAACTTGATTCTCTCTTGGTATTTATTATTTTAGTGATTGCAATTATCATCCATCCAGTTGTGCCAACTAGAAATTTAGGAGTTATCTTGACACCTTAATTTTTCAGTTTCCATATCTAATTCACCACTGAATTTTGGATATTTTGTCATTTAATCATATTTTGAAATGATCTAATTTTTATTCCATATCCACACTCTAGTTCAAGATAGCCACATCTCTCACTTGAACTGCTACTACTACTAAAATAATATTACACCTAACCTTCTCTGAGCTCCTCATCCATTCTCCCATCTGTTTTCCATTCTTCATCCAGAGGGATTTTTTTCAAAGTACAAATCTGACCATATAATGTCCCTTTATTCCAGTCCTCCTATTAAAACCCCAAAGTTACTCTTAGAATAATGAAAACTCCTAAGAAAGTTTGACTCTCACCCATCTCCTTCATCTCAGTGACACTAAAGTCTACACTCTAAAGTCACTGAGGGCCACTGCATAAGTTGATTCTTCTGCCCGGAATGATCTTTCTTCCCCTTTTCAGATCTCAACTTTGGGCCATTTTTTTGATTAAACCTCGTCTGGCCTCCATGATTAAGTCAAATAACAGTATTCCAGAATTCATATCACTGTGTGCTTGGTTTGGGATCTATCACAAACTAGGGGTGATATCTGTTTCTTGACTACATTTTTATTCTTTTAACATGAATGAGATAGTTAAGACAGAAACCAGTCAAAAGAATTCACAAAGCATTTTTTCAACTACGAAAAGCAATGTCCAAATGATAATTTATCTGCATTGCTGTCTGTCTGAAAGAGGTCTTGATTCCCAGAGTGGGTGTTGATGGGACAAACGTGGTTGAATGGTAGGAATGCGAAAGAGGCAGGAGGACGTGAATGTGAAAATCGATTGACGTAGAACAGATGAACCAGGCATTCTATTATTTTCTATAACTTGCTGAATGGGAATAGGTTGTGACTGATCTTATTATTAACCCTGGCTTGGAGAAAAATCCTTATAATTTCACTCTAATGTCAAAGTTTGAAGCCTATACAGCCATCCCAGGATAAACTGAACAGATCCTGTGGCAGCTATTGGTGTATGCTGCTGTTATTTTCCTTGAAGTGGGAACACTCTGCAAAGAGAAGAGTCAGTTGACAGCCTCTAGATGCTGCAGGTTTGGGGTCCATTGAAGTGAGCGTGATGAGGCTATATGGTCTCTGGGCTGCTCTCAGACAGTAACTGAGCATGGCAGGGGTACTAGAGCTTAGCCATTCTTGTCCAAAATGGGATTCCTCTAATGGGATAACTTTGCTCTGGGGTGCCTTGTTGACCTGGTCAAGACTCTCAGATCTGCATCACAGTCTGGAGCTTTGCCTTACCACTTTTCTTCCCTTCCTCTTTCTTTTCATAGGTCGCAGATGAGCATCATGGTCTGAAGCCCCTTCCCTCCTACTCCTGTTCCTTTTCCTTTATTATTCATAGTCATTTACCCCAATTCATCATTTGCAGATCTAATTCTGCCTTGGTATCTGCTTCCAGGAGGATCTGAACTGACACACACATTCACTTGGGAGCTACTTATGGAAGAAAAGGATGTGGAATGTTTTCCTCTCTCCTTTCACTGTATCTGGAGGGAGGAAAGTAGATTTGGTGTTAGGGAAGCAGGTTTCTTTTGGCTACCTGTATGTTGGTGATGGCTAGTTTGCTGCACATTCCAAAGCTGATCATCACCATCCATCAATTTCATCAATATCTCCTGATGTGGGGGACCTATAGATTTGGATGGTGATGAACATGGCCCTGAGCCACTGTCTAGGCATCTGCGGTTTCTGTGAAGTTTTACGATGCATCTTCCATCTGAAGCCATCTTACTTACAACTCCCATGCATGTGCCTCTGATGCATGCGGTCGATTTGGCACAAGCCTTCCCTTCCATCCCTACCCATCTTTTGATGTCCCTATTGTGATCCAATTGTTTATACCTCTCAGGAGACATGGTGTGTATGTGGCGAGAGTAGCTTTGCGGCTAAGCCTTGCCCTCTTCTGCCAATACCCATCCCTTCCTTCCAAAATGCTTTTCCCTAAGTTTTGTTAGGAAACCCTGAGACTAAGCAGACCAGAAGCTGGTAAGCAAGATGCCAGTCTCCTGTTCCTGTGGTGCCACTGTACCACTGTAGTATGGCTGTCTAATGGATTCCCCCAAACCAGGAGTCAGGGTTCATGCAACATGCTCTTCACATCCAGGAACTTGAATCTGACCCCAAAAGATCTCTTCCTGTTCTTTAGCTCATCTTAATTTTACCTTTCTCCTAGCAAGAGAATGGAGGTAGGGAAGACGAACTGTTCTTAGTTTACTCTGATTTTTTCCTTTGGTCCCACTCTGGCAAGTTCTTCATTGAACTTGATCTAGGACATTTTGGAGTAGGGGGGTAGTGAGGAAAGCAAATTAACATTTTCAGTGGCTGTCACTGGTCAAACACATACCTTGCAAATCTGTCTAGTTGCCCACCTTGTTAAGTTACAAGGCTTTAGTAAGATAACATATGTAGAGTGTTTAGAAGAGTGCCTGGACACAGTAAACAATCAGTAATATTAGCTATTATTTTACATTGATGAAAAATTTAGCCAAAGCCAGAAACAAATTTTATTATGTAAAAATCTTATATATTTCCTAATTCTCCCAGCAAAAGTGAGAATTTATCAAGTACTTATTCTGTTCAAAATGGCAAAAGAAAGTAATATATTGTATTTATAATTTTTAAAATGATGGGATTCTAACTTACTGGAGAATCCACAGGCACAGAATTAAAAGGGAAGGGTCCTTTGGTAAACTTCCTTCAACGCCATCTGCTTTCTAATGCTATGCTTTCTTCTTGAATTTCTCCTCAGTCTGTGCTTTGGGGCATCTCTAGTTCAGGAGTAAATGACTTTCACTATGTGAAAATAATGACATTTTCATCCCACGTAGTGCCCCTGGACAGAGTCATTTCACTCTGTCTGTATGATCTGCATCACCATGTGGATGTTGTATGAATTGGGCGGCTGTGGCTTCACTGGGTCAGATTTCCCAGACCTTTACACTATCACTATGTTCGAATACTATAGCACATTTTCTCTCAATTATTATAACAGTGTGTTTTAAAATGAGTGATTATTAAAATATTATTTTAGAACAGTTCCTGTTCTCGAATGCTGCCAGCATTTGTACTCCTAGGTAATCTTTTACAGCAGGGGTTAGCAAACTGCAGCCTACCACCTATTTTCGTAAGTAAAGTTTTGTTGGGACATAGCTATGATTATTTATTTTTTCTTTGTCTGTGGCTGCTTTTGCACTATAATGGCAGAGTTCAGTAGTTGCAATACAGATCATAGGGCCTATAAGTCTAAAACCTTTACTATCTGATCCTTTATGGAAAAGGCTTGCTGACTTCTGTTCTGTAGCGTGATTATTTCTGCAGAGGAATGTCCACACCCAGAAGATACAGGGTGGGGTTCTCTGACTTTTTTTAGAGGCAGATATTTGGCCACTTCTGAAGAGGAGGGAAGGGGATTTATTAGTTTTCTAGCTTACTCCAGCTGGGTTATATCAGCAGGGAGAAAGAACAAAAATCGGTGCTGTTGAACACAAGTGACTTACTGTTCCCTGTCCATGGCCCTGTTTCAAGTTCATCCTTAGGCTTGTGGCCTTTAGGACTCAGCTCCCTTTTTTTGGAGTTATATTAATATGGCACTATCAGTTTGAAAGGGAAGGAGAGAAGGATGGTCAGATTTTCCCTTTCATCAATATTTTGCCTAAAGTTGGCAGCCTTTCCTCTCAGCTTTGGGACTCAAAGATTATCCATGCTCTTTTAATATTAATATTCTGCCTAGCAGGGGGCAGCTTTTGAAGTGTACCTACATTTTGCAGTTGATATAGTTCATGTTTCCTTCAGATTTTTTTTTAAACCAATTGATTGAGAATGGCAGACTTTCTCACTGTCTCCTTCATGTGTCTTAACCTCTATTTCATATTTTCCTTTTGTCTATCTGGCAGTGCTTTGCTAATTCTTTTTTTTTAAATCTCCATTTTCCAGTTCACTAAATCTCTCCACTGCTGAGTCTAATTTCCTGTTTTTTAATTGTGATTTTTTCAATTTCTAGAATCTCTATTTGGCTCAGTTTTATATCTAGCTGGCGGATTCTAATAGTCTATTATGCTAGTGTCTTATTTTTCACTACTCTTCAATTTAAAAAAATATACTAGACATACACATCTATTATTTTGGGTCTGATTATTCCCAAATCTAGTCTCTGCAGTCATATTCTGATGTTTGTTCTGACTGCCAACTCTCACTTATTGTAGTTTGTTTCCTTCTCTGATAATTTATTTTATTGTGGTCTTGGAACTTTGTCTCTGAGAATTCTTTAAGCCCGTGCTTGAAGTGACTTTCTCTAGAGTATATTTGATATTTTAAGCCCCATTTCTTGGAATACTGCCAAGTAGGAATCAGTCAAATTACATTTGAGTTGGGGTTTTCAATTAAAAGGGCAGTTTGGATTTTGACCCTCACATTATGAGAATGTAGGTTTGTGTGAAGAATTTTCAGGGGAGCCATTTATTTTTATTTTTTATTTATGTTTTCTTTTTTCACACAAAGCTGAGAAACGAGTGTCTCTATGCCTGTGTCTATAGAGAGAGGTTGTTTCCAGTTTACCATTGGGGCTATGACCCTTTTGTGGTCCTGACACTGAGCTGACTTCCCACTCTGCATTGATTTTGGCCTTTGTCTCCTGTTTGTTGTCAGTGGCCCCTTAATAACCCAAATTTCAGGCCACCAGGGACCAAGAATCAGCAAGTACCTTCAAGGAAAAGATTGGCTTTGGTACTAACTTATATTTGTGTATCCTTGGACTCCCCTGAATAATTATATCCCTTCCCAACAGCTCAGTCATACATAAAACATTTTGTTACTTTAAAAAACTTTTCATAAGCATTTTTTGGTGTGTTAAACCAGAAGGGGTTTCACTTAATGTTTATATAGGCATATCAAGAAAGAAAAAAAGGAATTTAAAAAAAGAAAAAAAAATCACTGTTTCTTCCAGTTTTAACGAAGAAAAAAAAAGACATATGTAGTCATATTATCAGAAATGTCCCTTCATCTAAAAACTCATTTTGTCTACTCTTCTGTATATGTCTCTCACCCTTCTTTCTCCACAACATCTCTTGCATCTTTTCTTTATTCCTTTTTTCCATTCTCATTCTTATTCAAGTCCTCTACACCTTAGACGTGTACTATTGCAAGGGCCTCCAGTGCAAATCCTTCTCTTCCCTGTGGCCCATCTTCTAGTTCTTCCTGTACCTGATAGCCACATCTAGCTTCCTGTAAATTTACTTAGACAAATGAAATGCAAACAGTCAGCAATGGCATATTTGTATTGGTATTTTAGAAAATGTCTAAAAGAAAAATGATCAGCAATACAGGGAAGAGAAATTGTATCATTAGAGAAAATAAGTAAATGAATATATATTTTTATATGTCATATATATTTTACACATATGACAATGAGATACATATATCAGACATATATATTTATATGTCATATATATGCTATATATATATATATATATATATATATATATATATATATAACAATTAGATAAGTACTGTTCCAAAGCAGGTCCATGATGCTGTGTCTGGAATCAGAGAGAAAGGAGAGATCAAAGCTGCTTAGATAGAGAGTGAGATTCTGCATGGCTTTACAGAGAAGTTGGTCCCTTAGTCTTGAAGTAGCAGTTATGCAGTTGGAAATAGGTCAAGAAAAGGTATTCGTGGAGTAGAAACACTGTACAAAGACACCATTTCTTATAGTTTGTTTGGAGACAAGAAAGTACTGGAGTAAGGCTACATCTCAGAATTTAGAATGGTAGAAGATGTACTTGCAATTTGGATATCTGTCCCGCAGCAATTTATAAAAATAGCACCTTGACAATGCTTTTCTGTATTTTAACATACTTCCCCAACCCAACAGACTGAACGAGAGTCTTAAGACATTGGAAGTTGCTTTGTTATATTAATCACCTAATCTAAGGTTTAAATCTTCTCCACTACATCTTTCCTAATAGTTTTTGAGTCTCTTCTTGAATACTTTGACCGGCTGATAGCATGGGGCAACTGTTAAGACCAGGATCCAGATTGCCTAGGTTCAAATTCCAGCTTTCCCTAGGTGCGGTGGCACACCCTGTAGTTCCAGCTACTTGAGAGGCTGAGGTGAGAGGATCACTTGAGGTCAGGAGTTCAAGGCCATAGTGTGCTATGATCACGCCGGTGAAGAGCCACTGTACTCCAGCTTAGGCAACATAGCGAGACCCCATCATCTTTATAAGTAAATGGGAAAAAAAAATCTCAGCTCTGCCTGCTATGGTAGACCATGCCAGACCTGCTGCATTGAAGCTTCAAATAGGCATACTAGCTAAGCAAGAACCAAAATATGAAAATAATTAGATTAGGTAGCAATGGCTCACCCAGAAATTATGAATCTGGAGCCTTGATATTAGGGTATAAATGATGTGGTTCCCTCCCAGCCTAAAAAGAAATAAAAGATAAGTCCAGTGTTGAAAATTCTCCCACCTAGAAGATAAGCATATCATGTGAGCTGCTCAAACTAATCCACTTTAGGTATATTTCCTTGAGAAGAAAAGTTGTCACTAGAGAAACTTCTTTCCATCTTGTTCTCATGCATATTTTTTTCATTGTTTACTAGTTGAAACAATTGTAAGACAAGAGGGAACCTTCGAGTTATTAGCCTTACCAGTCTGAACCTTGATCAGGCTTTAAATAGCTTAATCACTTACATTTGTAAAATACGATTGGTTTGAGGATTAAATAAGATGATTACAAAGCCTTAGACAATGGCCAGTTCATAGAAAGTCTGAACTAAGGTTGGTATTATTATTTACTGTCTCATATAGTGACTCATTCCATTTGTGCCACTTCTTTCTTATGCAGAATAAGATGATCACACCCACTACAACCTCTACTTTTTGGTTTTGGTTCTTACGTTTTGTAGAATAGGCAAAATGTCTTCTTCATGGATATTCTTCTCTTTTCATGTTTCCTTTTTATCATTCAATTTACCTCTCCAAAATTATTTTCCTTTATCTTTCCATCTTGGTTTGTGGCTTTCTGTCTTTCCATTTGATTAGACTAAAAGTCGTAGAGTCAGAATTTCTTACTTTTTCTCACATCCCAAATTCTATCTATCTATCTATCTATCTAAGCCACTGTAACATCTCTCTTAGCTTATTGCAATAGCCTCCTAATTGGTCTCCCTATTCATGTTCTTACCCCCATTTAGTTCACACTTAACACAGCAATCAAAACAATCTGGTGAAATAAAAATTTCATTCAATCTTTCACTCCTTTGTTGAACCCATCAAATGACTTTCCATCTCAGAGTAAATGACAAATTTCTTTTAATAGGGGTTGTGAGGCTGGATGCTGTGGCTCATGCCTGTAATCCCAGCACTTGGGAGGCCGAGGCGGGTGGATCACTTGAGGTTAGGGGTTCGAGACCAGCCTGGCCAACACGGTGAAACCCCATCTCTACTAAAAATACAAAAATTAGCCACCCATGGTGGCACACACCTATAATCCCAGCTACTTGGGAGGCTGAGGCGTGAGAATAGCTTGTACCTGGGAGGTCGAGGTTGCAGTGAACTGAAGTGGCACCACTGTACCCTAGCCTGGGCAAAAGAGTGAAACTGTGTCTGAAAAAAAAAAAAGGGAGTTGTGAAGCCCTGTATGATGGTTTGAACTCTTAATATTTCTGATTTTATCTTCTACTCCTCTTTTCCTTGCTCACTTTTATACACACTGATCTCCTCACTATTCCTGGAAGGCATCAGGCAAGCTCCTAATTTGTGTCCTTGCACTTGGTATTATGTCTTTTGTTTTGTTTGCTTACTCACTATCTTCCTTCAGGTCTTTGTTTAAATGCTACCTTCTACTTGAGTCTTTTTTTTTCATATACTTTTAATAAACTTTCTCATTCATTTTTAAAATTCAAATTACTATATAATATACTCTATATTTTACTAGTAATTCTTGACTATTTTCTGTCTCCTTTCACAGAACATAAGCTCCATGAGGGCAGAGATTTTGCCTGATTATATTACTGTTACATTTGCAGAGATTAAAATGGGGCCTGTCTCATAGTAGGCATTCAATGAATATTTGTTGACGTAATGAAGAGATTCTACGAAGCATACAACCTACTTTCATTGTTCTCGGATGACTTCTGATGAATTATATGTCACTCTTGGATAATTATTATTCAAACTGAATATTGTATTCTTGTTTGGTTTTGAAAAACACAGCAAAGATAGGGAACATTATCTTCATTGTTTTAGACACATTTCTTCTTTTATATAAGTTTGGCAATTAAGACTAAGGATCTTAATTGACTTATTAAGATTCTTAATATACTTAGATTTTTTTTTTAAATTTAAAATTCCAGGCTGTTCTTGAAGTCATGGCCTCAAGCAATTCTCCCACCTCTGCCTCCCAAAGCGCTAGGATTACAGGCATAAGCCATTACACTTGGCCCAATAGAGACCTTTAAATGAGACTATTAATACCACTCATCCCACTGCAAATATATATATCTGTTTGTCTTACATTTCTCAAACTTGTTCCTTAACCAGTTAAGGAAACTCAGAAAGGGTAAATGAATTGCCCAAGGTTGCATGATTAGTAAACAGCAGGTGTGAATCTTGAGACTGGTCCAAGGTCCCACTACTGCATAATACTTTTAGCATTCTTATATTTTCTATAACACCAAGCACAGTGTTTTGCAAGTCCTCAGTAAACACATGTTTATTGTTGATTAATGTTCCTTGCCTTGAGCTTCCTGTAACGTAAGGCTCTCATTTAGACTTGTAATCCTCAACTGGGGGGCAACTTTGCCTCCAGAGAACATTTGCCAATGTTTGAAAATATTTTTGATTGTCAGGAATGGGAAATGCTACTGGCATCTAGTGGGCAGAAGTCAGGGATACTGCTAAATATCCTACAATGCACAGGATTGCCCTTCCACAACAAAGAATTATCTGGCCCAAATGTGCTGAAACTGAGAAACCCCGATTTAGATCTTAGCTTATTGATTTGCAAGCAGTATAGAGAAAGTCTAAAAGTGAACCAAAGCAAGCTGATTATTTCTTCTCTCTGGTTTTCTTGTTAATGGACCCAGCTTTTAAGTAAAATAAAAGAGCACTTGAGCTATAAAAACAGATACACAAATAAAACCCTGTCAGCCTGGCTCCTTTTGGTACCTGAGGTCCTTGTGCTTGTACTGAGAGGTGAGAGCCAAGTAAAAGCCATACTCCTCAGCCAGGATAAAGCAACTTGTACTCATTACATATTCATGTTTGCAATGGCATTCTTCACTTAAAAGATTCAGGGCACATCATTAATTAAAGCAATGAATTCCTGAGAAACAACACTAATTAAACCTCAAAATCAAAACAGCATAAAAAGGCAGACCTCATTTTTCTATTCCTTCTGAGCAGCTGGGACAAATCATACAGCTTTATCATGCCAAGTGGGGAAAGGTAGAATTTATCAAGAAGGCAGACCAGCCACCTTCACTTAGGCTTTCTTCCTCTTTCTTGCTGCTGGTTCTAAAAATGAACCATGGCAGGGCTGCCAAAAAGCAAATCGCTGGTTGGTAGTGGCAATGTCCTCATTTGCATGGCATGTGCTTTATCTTTCATAAACAAGCAGCTAAATTCTGGAACAGCAGGAGGATTCGAGCTTAAGGGGTCAGAGATCCACTCTGTTAAGCTAGACAACCGTGGCCTGCTGTTTTACTCCATATTTGATGCGTGGGCAACCTCATAGCTTAACTCCCTTATATTTACTGATTACTTCCATATCTCTATTTTTCATTCCAAGAACTATGCTAAATGCTTTGCATGCCTGATCTTTTAAAAAATCCTTCAACAACCCTGTGCACTATTATTCACATTTCCTAGATTACAAAATTAAGGTTTAGAGAAGTAATTTGTTCAAAATCACATGTGTAGTAAATACAAAAGCTAAGACTCAAACCCAAGTCCTTTATCCCCCTTTTAATTCTCAATTCTATTGTTTGGTTCAGGTTCCCATCATTTCTTATCTGGATTATTGTCCAGCTTTCTAACTAGACTCCTAAATTGTGCTTCTAGAGGGCTTGTCCCAGGTCTTTCCTACTATTGCATAATACTTTTAGCATTTTTGTTTCCTCTAACATCAAGCACTGTTTTGCAAGTCTTCAATAAACATGTTTAATGTTGATTAATGTGTCTTGCCTTGACCTTCCGGCAAACTAAGGCTTTTATTTAGATTCGTGGCTCTCAAGTGGGGGTGACTTTCCCTCCAGGGAACATTTTCAAATGTTTGGAAACATTTTTGATGGTCAGCAATAGGAAGTGCTGCTGGCATCTAGTGGGTAGAAGCCAGGGATACTGCTAAACATCCTACAATGCACAGAACAGCCCTCCCACAACTCCATCTTCCACTCTGCAACCAGCATAACGTTTCTAAAATGCAAACCTAAATCCTACTTAGTCTAACTAAATGACTTATGGTTCCTTGAATTCATCAGAGTCCACTTCCTCACACATGTTGTTTTCTTAATTGACATTTGTTTATCCTTAGAAATTCAGTTGAAAGGTTAGCAATATTGAATAGAAAGGTGGCCATAGTTTGCTTAAAATATAGACTGCATTACTTGCATTCACATCTGCTAAAGAGAAAGTAAATTTTTGAGTAATCTTAACATGTTTGTGAAACGATTTCATATCTATAATACTGGAATACTCTCTACTTTTGTCAATTATGTTATTTAAATGGATTTCATTAGGCTTGACCATATTACCATGACCATCTTACCATGGAACTATGATGAAGCTCTCCATTTTTTCCTTTCCCTAGTCTCTAAAACATCAACATTTTCATTTTTTAGTGTTTTAAAGGCATCTCAAATCATATTTCATTCATCTGCTTTTCCCTGAAGATTAAACACATATTCAGAGTGGAGATATTTGTGAGTGTACCAATGAGTCTCTATCTCTGTTTTCCCATTTGTTGTTCTAAGTCCACTGACAATTTGACCTATTTGGTTCAATCCTTCAGGAGGTTCTATATTCAGAGAAGTTTAGTCCTTCTGAATCTCCCTGTTTTATTTGCCCATCTTGAAGGATATAGATGAAACTAGAGGTTATACCCCGTGGCAACTCGTTAAAATCCCTGGCTATCACCATAGTGTCCAATACTTTTTTCCTTAATTTATGTCATTTCATCCCTATCCTCTCTCTCTCACATTCTCTTCTCTCAACACTGCTTCTTGCTCCTTCTCTTCTTGTCCACCCCTGTGCCCTGTCAGCTGATGGCTCTCTTTGCTCTCCTTTAGATAATCACCCAGGCAGCTTTTGTTCTTTCTACACCTCCTACCTTCTAGGGACTTCATTACATGAAATCAAAGTATTACTCAGGCCATGTTGCAAGGGCCAGGAAAGAAAAGGGACAAAGCAGACAAAGCAGGCAAAGCAAAGGGATTATATTTTAATAGTTCAGTCCCATCACAATTACACTTCTTCATAGGGTAGGGGTCAGGCTTCTCCTTGTAATTGTGATTTTGGTCATTATAAGGAAAATTATGAGGATGCTTAGAGATCAGGTAGTTCACCTCTTTAACTAAATAGATGTCCAAATAGGTGTGACTTGCCCATGGTCACACCATGGGTCAATGCCACGGTTAAGCTGGACCTTCTGACCAGAAGTCAGGATATCTTCTAGTACTCTACACTGTTTAAATGCATCAGTGTAGTGCCTCCTGCAATATATATATGAAGTAAAGGTGGAGGTAAAAAACAAAGATATGGTTTAATGATTTAAATTAAAGTAGGGAATCCTTCTCCCCACCACATTATGACAAAAGGACCAGATGTAGTAGTAAATAAGATTGGTCTCCAGGTCTGCTTATGCGATATAGTTATAACGTTTGGTCATGAATTACCTGGGAGTCTAAAATAGTATTCTATTTTAAAGATACAATAAGTCTTTAAAATGAAGATGTGTCTTTTTAGTTTTTACTGGCTGTGCTTTGATAGTAATAAAAGTAGTAACAATAATACTGATAGCTACCATTACTGATTGCACTATGTTTGCCAGGCCTCCCATTAAACACTTTATTCTCTTATTCAATCTAATTTTCAAAAGAACTATAAAATATGAGTTTATGTAGCTACTTTACAGACTAGGGAACTGAGGTTCAGCAATGAGCAATGAGATAATTTATTGTTACTCAGTAAGTAGCAGTCAAAATTCAAACCCAAGTTTGCCTATCTTCAAGAGGCTATGCTTTCACTCTCATACAAAGCAGAAGGTAACAGTGCCTACCTCATTCTGCCTTGTCATATATATAAGTATACCTCAAAGATATTGGGAGTTTGATTTCAGACCACTGCAATAAAGTAAATATCATAATAAAACTCATCTATAAGAAGCAACTCCTCATCCATTCAAGTTTTATCATAAGATTGCAGCAATTCCGTCACATCATCAAGTTCCACTTCTAATTCTAGTTCTCTTGCTACTTCTGCAATATCATCAGTGACTTCCTCCATGAAGTGTTAAACCCCTCAAAGTCATCAGCGAGGGTTGGAATCAACTTCTTCCAAACTCCTGTTAATCTTGCTATTTTAACCTCCCTTGAATCATGAGTGTTCTTAATGGCATCTAGAATACTGAACTCTTTCCAGAGGCTTTTGATTTACTTTGCCTAGACCCATCAAATGAATCACTGTCAATGATGGCTCTAGCCTTAAGAAATGTGTTTCTGAAATAATAAGACTTGAAACTCAAAATTACTCCTTGATCTCCTCGTTGCACAATAGATGTTGTGTTAGCAGGCATGAAAACAACATTCATCTCTTTGTACATCTGCCTTAGAGCTCTTAGGTGATTAGGTACATTGCCAATGAGCACTAATATTTTGAAAGGAATCTTTTTTTTCAGGAGCAATAGGTTTCACCAGTAGACTTAAAATATTCAGTAAACCATGCTGTAAACAGATATGCAATCGTCCAGGCTTTGTTGTTCCATTTGTAGAGCACAGGCAGAATAGGCTGAGCATAATTCTTAAGGGCCTTAGAGTTTTTTGAATGGTCAATGACCATTGGCTTCAACTTAAAATCCCCAGCTGCATTAGTCCCTAACAAGAGAGTCAGCCAGGCTGTCCTTCAAAGCTCCGAAGACAGGCTTTGACTTCTTTCTAGCTATGAAAGTCCTAAGTAGCATCTTCTTCCAATAGGAGGCTGTTTTATCTATATTGAAAATCTGTTGTTGAGTGTAGCTACCTTCATCAATGATCTTAGCCAGATCTTCTGGATAACTTGCTACAGCTTCTACATCAGCACTTGCTGCTTCACCTTGCACTTTTATGTTATAGAGATGGCTTCTTTCCTTAAACGTCACGAAGCAACCTCTGCTAGTTGTGCATCTTGCGCAGCTTCCTAACCTCTCTCAGCCTTCATAAAATTGAAGAAAGCTAGGATCTTGCTCTGGATTAGGCTTGGCTTAAAGGAATGTTGTGTCTGGTTTGATCTTCTATCCAGATCACTCAAACTTTCTTCATTATCAGCAATAAGACTACTTTGCTTTCTTATCACTTGTGATTTCACTGAGTAGCACTTCTAATTTTACTTTTAATTTTTCTTCAAGAGCTTTTCCTTTGCTTTCCCAATTGGCTGTTTGTCAGAAGAGGTCTAGCTTTTGGCCTGTCTCAGCTTTCTACGTGCCTCCCTCACTAAGTTTAATCATTTTTAGTTTTGAGTTAAACTAAGAGATGTGTGACTTTCCCTTTCGCTTGACACTTAGAGACCATTGTAGGGTTATTAATTGGCCTAACTTTAATATTGTTGTGTTTCAGGAAACAGGGAGGCCTAGAGAAAGGAAGAGAGTCAGAGAACCACCAGTTAGTGGGGTAGTCAGAATATACACAACGTTGATTAAGTTTGCTGTCTTAAATGGGTGTGATTTGTGGTGCCCCAAAACAATTACAATAATAACATCAAAGATTACTGATCTCAGGTCACCATAATGGATACAATAATAAGAAAGTTTGAAAGATTGTGAAAATTACCAAAATGTGACACAGAGATACAAGGTAAGCACATGCTATTGGAAAAAATGGCACCAATAAACTTGCTTGGTGCAGGGTTGCCACAAACCTTCAATTTGTAAAAAGTTTAATTGCTGCAAAGGACAATAAAGGGAAGCACAATAAAACTATACAGGTATATCTGTATAGTTTATCCTTCCATTCAAGGAACTTTTATTGCTATGCACTGGGACAGGTGATAAACACAAAGTAATGGGAAAAACACATAAGCAAATGCATAATTGTAGTTTAGTGTAAGAAACTGTTTTCACAGAGGGGGACATCAAAACCAGCCTGGGTGGGGATGGTCAGGGAATGCTTGCAGGACATGCAGGCCTTTGAGTTGCATGTTTAAGGAGGAGTAGATGTCCATTAGGGAGATAGCATGTGTGAACATGGAACATAATGAACTCAAGAAACCATGAATAATTGTTTGGAATGAGTAATGGACTGGAAACAGGAGGTCATGTGGGACATGTCAGAGGAAGCTGGAGAGTCAGTCTCATCTTAGATCCTGCATGGCTATTTGAACCATGTTGAGTGGCTTAGAATTTATCCTAAGTGGAATGAGGAGCCACCATGGATTTTTATTAGAGAAATGACATAGTCAGATATGGTTTAGGGAGTGTGCCTATGGGTGGGGGTGGTAGAGGATAGAAAGGCAGGATGGGGCATTGAGAAGGGACATGGGAGACTACAGGCAGGGACCCCGGTGGGGATGCTGCTGTAATCCAGGTAAAGAAAGAAGAGAGCTGAAACTGAGGCCCCTGAAAGGGAAAAGAGAAAATAGGAGGAGAGAAATGGGTTTATAAGATTTGAAGCAGGTTCCCTTGCCTGCCATATTGTTTGCTCCATTGACATTTGGCTCAGCCCCTTGCTCAGGGAGATATTATAGCATGTGCAGTCTACTGAAAATGAAAAAAAAAGCCCAAACATGAAATGAATCACATACAACTATGAGCAAGAAAGAATAAAACAAGGGATCTGAGTAAGGCCAAGAAGGAAGAGACAGTCTTATCTTTTTCTTTTTACCTTAAGCCTTGTGTCCCTTTCTTCTCTAATCTCTCACTCTTCCTTCTCACCTACTCCTTTCTCTGCCTCTGTGACTTTAACAGTTCATCATGACTAAAGGTCTCAGGAAGACAGGGTAGGGAGCTAAACCTGAAACCATGTTGAAATTACAGTGCTGCTCAACTTTAGGATGTGATCATTGCTAAGCTGGGCCTTTAGCAAAAGAATGGCTTCTTGACACACTGCATGCAGGGGAAGGGTGGGCTCAGAGAAGTTCAGTGTTTGTTTCCACAATATTCCTTGAAAAAGTCTTAAAACTGCTTTAGAATATTAAGAAGAAAAAAAAACCCACCATTTTTTTTTTCTCCTATTATTTTCTTACAACACAGAACACTTCATTGACCAATGTGTAGGAGTTTTGACCCACACACTAATCAAGAAATCAGTTCTGCAGTGGACACCAGTGGGGTGTCCTCTCAATTCAATTTGGAAATGACCTACCTGAAAGTAGAATCAGATCCCACACATCGAGTAGTCAGTCCCATGACTGCCCCCTACTTCAGATGCGAGTTGCCCATTCAGGCCTTTGGAATTTCTGACTGGCCAGCTATAAATTGGGATTTCTACAACCTCTCTACCTTTGGGTTTGATTAATTTGCTAAAGCTGCTCACAGAACTCAGGGAAGCCCTTTAGTTTTGTTTATGCATTTATTATAAAGGATACATGAAAGGATACAAATGAACAGCCAAAGAAAGAAGGTTTGGAAATGTCCCAAGCCCAGGAGCCTCTGTCCCTGTGGAGGTGGAGGGTGCCACCCTTCCAGCAGGTTAATGTATTCTTGTTCACCAATTTGGAAGCTCCCTGAACTCAGCTCTTCTGGTACTTTATGGAGGCTTCATTATGTAGACATGATTGATTAAATTGTTGGCCACTGGTGATCAACTTAAACTTCAGCCTCTCTCCTTCTCTGGATGTGAGATGGGGTGTGGGGCTGTGAGTCTCAACCCTCTAAGCACACAGTAAGTCCCCTTGGCAACCAACCCTTCATCCTGTAGTTATCTAGGGATTTTCCAAAAATCACCTCATTAACATAGTCTCAGGTGTGGTTGAAAGGGGCTTGTTATAAATAACAGAAATGCTGGTTTCACCTTCATCACTCTGGAGCTACTCTGAAGCTGTTTCTGGGAACTGAAGACAAAAGGCCAAATAGTTTAACAAAAAATATCCTTATCATTCTAGTTACTTAGGAAATTATAAAGGCTATAGGAGCTGTGAGCTAGAAACCATGGACACAGCCAAAAATAAATATTTTATAATATCACAAATACTGTCTATGTTTTTCCATTGATATGTCACTATTTGTTTGAACTCAGGCCTGTTAACTTGCTGTGATGCTAATGGCCTTTTGTTTATAATAGACCTAAAAGATTTTCAAATTATGCAACCCCCATTGCCAAAAGCTTTCGGGTGGCCTTTTAAGCAAAATGAAGAAAAATTGCATATAGGTTCACATTCATTTTCCAATGTAAATTGCCATTTTATTAAAAATGGAGTTTATAGCAGGGAAATCATAATTTAAATTAATGAATCCTCAAATGATACTTGTTATTGCCAATTATTTTTTAATATAATATAAAATTTCTGGGTTCATAAATAGCATTCTTTTTTTATTCAGGAAAAGCCATGCTCAGCAATGTGTTATTCATGACTTAATTATTCTATAGATGCTTCATTCATATGCATGCAGATATATCTGGCAGCACTGCATTTTAATGAAGATGCTGAAAGGCAGCAGGCTATAATTTCTGACAGAGGATTCTGTCATGACTGAACAATAGGAGCTCCTGAAGAGGACTAGGAAATAACACAGCCCAGAAAGAAAATTAAAAACCCATTTAAATATTTTAATTATAATCTTCATTAGGGACATTTTGAAATCCTTGTGCACATCAGAGCTTCCATAGTTTAGAAGCTATTTTTGCTGGAAGAGAATAATTTTTAGGAAGGGGGAAATATTTTCAAGATCTCATGAGTTGAGACACAGCCGCTCCCTAGGGGAGCACAGGACCTGGTTTCTGTGCCCATTCCCTGCCCCTCTTTAGGCTGACTTCTCTTTATTGAAGTCATAATGGGGTTAAAATGACCAATCTGTTCAACCTTGCAAGAGACAAGGAAAGGAGGAAGGGAAAGAGAGCCTTTCACATTTGTGTGTGTGTGTGTGTGCATGAGTGTGTCACATACACACAGAGTGTGAGGTTTAGGATTTTAGCACTGGTTGGCTGCACCTCAAGCTTTCATCCTTGGACCCTCCAGAAAGCTCAGGTTAATGAGAAACAATAAAGACCTGTTTCAACGATAGGGATTGACGCAATTTTATTATGGTTTCTCTTTCTCATCTTCTCAGAGAGGGAGAGATGTCAGAAAAATGATAGAATTGTCAAAAGCTTGTGCAATCAGCTAAATAAAAAAACAGGTAATAATTCCACTTTTTCCGTTACAGAATACAAGCAAAAAGAAACCTACCGCTACATTCAAGTATTTTAGGGTAGGTATGAATATGCAAGTGATGGGGCATCCAGGGCAGTGGGAGGCGTGGCACTTTCTGGAAGGGTGAGGAGAAAGAGGAGCAGCTGTCCAGGCACTGCCCTGGGTTTCCTCCTACTCTGTTGAAGCTGCTCTTGTTATGCTTGCCTGTGTGCCTTGCATCTCCACATCCACTGCACACTTTGCTGTCTTCTTACTCCACCTCTCAGCCACGTTGAACACAGATGGCAACCTCCTCTTTCTTCAAACATGCTGCTCTTGTGACGCTTGTGATGCCATAGACTACTGCTTCTCAGCATTCTTGTGTTTTCCTCCCGTTCTATTTCTTTTTAAAATGTTGACCATTGATAAGTAGAATTTAATTTTTGTGTAGTGTGTAAATTTTTAATCCTTTAGCGTATTGTATACATCTTTAATTAAGAAATTCTTCCTTGGGCCGAGCAAGGTGGCTTACACCTGTAATCCCAGCACTTCAGGAGTCTAAAGACAGCAGATCACTTGAGGTCAGGAGTTCAAGACCAGCCTGCCCAACATGGCGAAACCCCATCTCTACTAAAAATACAAAAATTAGCCGGGTGTAGTGGCTCACACCTGCAGTCCCAGCTACTCAGGAGGCTGAGGCAGGAGAATTGCTTGAACCCAGGAGGTGGAGGTTGAAGTGAACCAAGATCGTGCCACTGCATTCAGCCAGGGCCACAGAGTGAGACTCTGAAAAAAAGAAAAAGAAAAAAGAAAAGAAAGAAAGAAAGAAAGAAAAATTCTTCCTTACTTTAAGCTCATGAAGTTCTTCTAAAATTTCTTGCAAGCATTTAAAGTTTCTAGTTCATTGTCATGTTTTGAGGTAGAGATCTGAAAGTCATGTTGAAACTTAATCCCCAGCATGGCAGTATTAAGAGATGGTGCCTTTAAGAGGTGATTGGGGGCCGGCGTGGTGGCTCATACCTGTAATCCCAGCACTTTAGCAGGAGGAACCAGGCAGATCGCTTGAGCCCAGGAGTTTGAGACCAGCCTTGGCAACATGGTGAAACTCCATCTCTACAAAAAATTAAAAATTAGCCAGGCACGGTGGTCGCACCTTCGTAGTCCCAGCAACTTGGAGGCTGAGGTGGGACGATCACTTGAGCTTGGGAGGTTGAAGCTGCAGTGATTGTGCCACAGCACTCCAGCCTGAGTGCTGTGGATGAAAGAGTGAGACCCTGTCTCAAAAAACAAAATAAATAAAAACAAGTACAAAAACAAACAAAAAACTAAAAAAGAAGTGATTGGGTCAGGTGGGTTCTGGTTTAATCCGTTCATGGATTAATTAATGGATTAATGGGTTAATGGATTAATAAGTTATCGTGAGGGTAGAACTGGTGGCTTTAAAAGAAGAGGAGAGACCTGATCTAACACGCTCAGACCCTCTTGCCATGTGATGCCCTTCCCTGTATCACCTCTGGACTCTGCAGAGAATTACCACCAGCAAAAAAACCCTCACAAGATACAGGTCCTTGTCATTGGGCTTCTCAGCCTCCATAATCCTAAGAAATAAATTCCTTTTCTTTGGGAATTACCCACTTTCAGGAATTCTGTTATAAGCAACAGAAAACAGACTAAGACAAAATCTGAGCTTTTCATTCTATATATATAACTATCTGTCCCAGAATTACTCATTGGATAGTCCTTCCTTTCACAAATGGTTTGCAAAGCCAACTGTGTCATATATCAAATATCTAGTATACATAAGTATAGGTCTCTGTGTTAGTCTTCTTAATTACTGAATAAAACAGTATCACAAATTTAGGAGTTTAGAACAATAGCTACTTGTTACCTCACAGTCCTATAGACAAGAAGTCCAGGCAGGCTTACCTGGATTCTGAGTGTTTAACAAGGCCAAAATAAAGGTGTTGGCCTGGCTGGGCTCTTATCTGGGGGCTCTAGGGAATAATCTGCTTTCGAGCTCCTTCAGGTTGTTGACAGAATCCACTTCCTTGAAGCTATAGAACTGAGGTCTCTGTTTCCTTGTCTGCTGTGAGCTGGAGCCACTCTACGCAGCTCAAAGCCACACACATTTCTTGGCATATGGACTCTTGCATCTCCAAAGCCAGCAAGGGCAAGTGAAATGCCCTCATACTTCGAATGTCCAACTTCTGCTTCTTCTGCCAGCCAGAAAAAAAAAATGATCTGCACTTGAAGGGCTCAGGTAATTAAGATTACCCAGATAATCTTTATTTTTCCATAAAATGTAACAGTCATGGAAAGGATCTTTTCATGTTCCATCCCCACTCAAATAGGAAGGTATTACAGAAGAGCCAGGGTCATTGGGGGTCATTCCTAGAATTTCACGTGCTACAATCTGTCTATGGGCTTTCTAACCTGTACCATTATCCCTGTGCCAATATCCACCCTGTTTAAGCAAGTTGTATCAAAAATTCCACTGATATTTGAATTGTAATTGCCTTGGATCTAAGGTTCTATCTTTTTGATATTGAATCTTTTTACTAAAACTTTGGAATGCCTCCCAATTCATAATTTTGTCCATATGTCTTACATATCTTTTCCTTTTTCATACATCATAATGAAAAGTTACAATGAACTCTGGCCCAAAGCAAAAATTTTGACTTTAGGTGGGACTTCTAGAGTGAGTGAGAAGATGGGAAAATCCTGTCCCCCAAAGGCAAATATAAAACCAGAAAAAACTGTCAGAAACAACCACTTTGGGATTTTGGAAATTGATGAAAGGCATCCATCTCATTGAGAAGCATGTATTGAAGAAAAACTGAGCGTCAGTAAGAATGGTGGGAATCTGTGGCACTCTGTCCTGGGGTTCCTGCCATTCCCCACCCCAGTTCTGCTGTTCAGTAATTTTACCAGGGCAGAACAAGCTATGAGGACAGGTGGCCTCCTTACTACAGGAGGCAGATTGACTTTGGAGTGGAGCGTAGATTTGACTCAGGGCCTTTGGCAAAAATGATGGTGGAAAAATCCTGGAATAATACCAAACAATTTAAGAAGGGCAACATTGCAGCTAACCTGAGGTTACGATGTTGCTCAGGAAACCAAGAAACTGACAGACCAGCCAGAAAATTAAAAGGGAAATCCAGAGATGGAGATAGTGACAGTGGCCTTCACAAGTGTTCACTTCTCCGTGGCAGCTTGGAAGGCTGTATGCATGCTCAAGGACATGTGTACACATAGGATGGATCAGATAGGGCCTGGCTGTCTACCTGTCCTTTATGAATGTGAAGACTTGAGTATGCAGAAAGTATAAACCAGGGCAGACTTGCAAGTTGTCTGAACTTTGATTACATTCCTTTTTTATTTTGTTATTTTTGAGCTAGGGTCTTGCCCTGTTACACAGGCTGGAGTGCAGTGGCACCAACACGGCTCAGGGTCCCCACTACCTCCTGGGCTCAGGCTATCCTCCCACCTCTGCCTCCTGAGTAGCTGTAACTACAAGTACACATCACCATGCCTGGCTAATTTTCAATTTTATTTTTTGTAGAGACAAGGAATCACTGCTGGCAGTGGTGGCTCAAGCCTGTAATCCCAGCATTTAGGGAAGCAGAGGTGGGAGGATAGCTTGAGCCCAGGAGTTTGAGACCTGCCTGGGTGACAGCAAGACCCCATTCTCAAATATAGAAAAATAAATAAATAAATAAATAAATAAATAAATAAATAAATAAAAGAGATAGGGTCTCACTATGTTGCCCAGGGTGGTCTTAAACTGCTAGTCTCAAGTGATCCTCTTGCTTTGGCCTCCTAAAGTGCTGGGATTACAGGGTGTGAGCCACCATGCCCAGCCTTGATTACATTCCTTAAACACACAGATCTGTTGGCAAAGAGCAGAAGGCTTACTGGCTCAATACGTTTATGTGCAACCTCTGATCAATTTTTGGCTGATCATTAAGCTATGCTAATCCAGGAGTGACTCATGGGAAGCCAGATTTAAAAATTAAACAAAAATAAATTTTAAAAAGGAACCTGAACAGAAACAACAGGAGCTGCACACTGTTGTGAGATAGATTCTACAGAATTTATCCAGGCAAGTCATTCAGCAAATCAAAAAAGTAGCAACAGCAACTAACCCTGGAGAGGAGATGAATCCAGAGTTACTACAATATATTATCTAAAATGTCCAGTTAAAGAAATGACATGCAAAAAACCAGGAAAGTGTGACCACACACAGAAAGAAAAACAATGGAAACTGTTTCTGATGGGACAGATGTTAGATATGGTGGAGCAAAGACTTCAAAATAACTAGTATAGATATGTTTAAATAAATAAAGAAAACAATATTTAAGAACTAAAGGAAAGCATAACAATAATAAATAATCAAGTAGGGAATACAAATCAAGAGATGAAGATTATTTTTAAAATGGAATAGAAATTCTGAAGTTGAAAAGTACAGTAATTAAAATAAGAAATTCATTACAGGGTTTCAATAGCAGAGTTCAGCTGGCAGAATAAAACAAATGAGTGAAATCAATGATGGATCAAGAATTATAAGGAATTACAGAAAAAACAATGAAGAAAAAAGAAGAGTCTCAGAGATTGAGGAACATCATCAAGTGACCCAGTGTCAGTGTCCCAGAAGTAGAGAAAAGAAAAAAAAGTGAAGAAAATATATTTAAGAAATAATGGCTGAAAAGAACTAAAATATATATAGTAAAAGGCATCTGTATCAGTCTGCTCAGGTGACCATAATAAAATACCATAGACTAGGTGGTCTAAACAATAGATATTTATTTCTCACAGTTCTGGAGGCTGGGAATTATAAGATTAACGTGTTGGCTGACTTGGTTTCTGGCAAGGGCCCTCCTCCTGGTCGATAGACAGCAACTTATGGACAGGGTCCTTACATGCCAGTGAGAAAGCTCTGGTCTCTCTTCCTCTTTTTATAAGAACACTAATCCCATCATGGGGGTTCCACCCTCATGATCTAATCTAAACCTAATTACCTTTCAAAGGTCCCACCTCCACATGCTATCACATCCAGGGCTAGGGTTTCAATATATGAATTTTGGGGGGAGACAAACATTCAGTCCATAACAGTGTCCAACAAATGAATATAAATGGTGCAGTAGAAAATATTTACATAGTACAACAAAGGCAGTGAAAGAGAAACATAGAAACAAAAAATGCATGATATATATAGACACAAATAGCAAAATAGCAGAAATCAATACAAATAAGATTTCAACAAATAAGACGAAAGTAAAATCATGGAAAAAATATATATTAGGATGGCCAAAATCTGAAAAGCTGACAATACCAATTGCTGGTGAGAATGCAACAGAAATTCTCATTCATTGCTAGTGGGAATGCCAAATGGTACAAACACTTTGGCAGTTTCTTGCAAAACTAAGGATACCATAGAATCCAGCAGTAGTGCACCTGGGTATTTACCGAACTGATTTGAAAACTGCTGTTCATACAAAACACCACACATAAATATTTACAATTATTTTATTTATAATCACCAAAACTGGGAGTAATCAAGACGAAGAAGCCTGTGACTAGCCAGCCACTGCACTCCAGCCTGGACAACATAGCAAGACCCTTGTCTAAAACAAAACAAAACCCTTAAACAAACTACAGCTGGCAAACAAATATCCTGGTTAATGATTAAAAAAAATACACATCTCCATGACTAAATGGACTAATATAAATATTTCATAGAAAAGACATCAAATTCCAGATAAAACTTGAGTGTATTCAATCTAAATAAGTGAAATAAGTTTATTTCCTTACTTCTCATTTGGATTATTTGCTTCTCAAAGACAGAATTGTTCCTTGCAAGAAACAAATTTATACATACAATAGTTCTTTATTTAATTATTGTTTTATTGATTTCAAAGATTTAGCCAACATTGATGAGGACGAAATGCTATAGTTTATTGAGGCTAAATCAGTGTAGCCCAGGTTGGAAGTGCAGTCTCAGATGTCTTCTAATTGGAAATGTTGCAAGTTATATTATTGTTCAAAAATACTTACTCCCTTTCTTTAACTTCATGGGAAGAATGTTCTTCCCCCTACTGGTTGATCTTGGGCTTGGCCTTCTGTGACTTCCTTTGACCTCAGGCCGAATGTGCTTGCATTCTATACCCTCGCATTAGTATAATGCAGCATAGCCTATGGTTAAACAGGCTTTCAGGCAGGCTTCTGTGCTAGCAGTTTTCACCTATATTACCGTGAACCATAGAAATGGCGGATATGGCCAGATGCGGTGGCTCATGCCTGTAATCCCAGCACTTTGGAAGGCCAAGGCGGGCAGATCACGAGGTCAGGAGTTCGAGACCAGCCTGGCCAATATGGTGAAACCCTGTCTCTACTAAAAATACAAAAACTAGCCAGGCGTGGTGGCGCGCTCCTGTAGTCCCAGCTACTTGGGCGGCTGAGGCAGAAGAATCGCTTAAACTCGGGAGGCGGAGGTTGCAGTGAGCTGAGATTGCGCCACTGCATTCCAGTCTGGGCGACAGAGTGAGACTCCGTCTCAAGAAAAAAAAAAAAAAAAAAAAAAGAAATTGTGGGATATTTGACTTTTTACTCTCCAAAACCCCTGCATTTTTATATGATTCATTCAATCCTCATCTTACCTTGCTGCCGCCCCAGCCCAAGGCCCTGAGCAGAGGGGAGCGATGGCACCAGCAGCAGCCACACGCTCGCGCCTACTGCTAGCATCCTTGCAGCGCAACCCCCGCCCGCACCGCCTGCGGGAAGCTGGGGGTCTTGGAGCCTCGGTCTCCAGCCTTCTCCTGACTTTGGCTCCGTGCCACCCGCCAGGCTCACCCCCAACCACTACTCCTCCCACCCACCATTCCCAGTCCCTCCTCCCTGCCGGTTTCTCCTGGACATCCCTGGCCTGCTCCAGCAGCGCCGCCAGCTTCAACCTCACGCCCTTAGTTTTCACTTCTTATTTAATAGCAGAAGCACCGAACAAAATTCCCGAATAAAATTCCTCATTGGCCTCTGACACTAGACTACAAACATCAGGTGACTCAATATTGTGGGGGGAATTGGGCCAACTTGGCTTAAATTAATCCAAGCTTTGCTATAATATGACCTAAATCCCTTCATTTATAAAATGTAGATAAGGAAGAATTGGTATTGAATAAACATCTGGCACATCATTCTCGATATTACTACTGTATTACTATTCTAATAAAAATTATAAATTGTCACTTATTCAACAAAGATTTATCCAACCTCTCTTTTGTGCCTGAGTTTAAATTTCTCTTTCTGGAAAAGGAGACCCCTGGAATTCAGGGAATATGGAAGGTTACACCTACAGGTCTGTGATTGGCATATTGGAAGGGCCCACGAGACTTTGCCAATTGTAGAGTCTACCTCACCAGGGGTTAAGACGACTTGATTAGAATACATTTCTATACAGTTATGGCATCTGTGCTATTTCTAGCTTCCCCCTCTTTTTATCATTTCTATTACAGGTTCTAACATGCAACTTTAAAAATGGTCTCTCAAGCTCATGGCCTTCAAGCTTGGAATTAGGTTGGTAGGGCAGTATGTGTCTCTGCTTGCTAGCAGTAAAAAATGTTTGAATGGGAGATCTTTCCATGGAAAGGGTTTTTATAACTCCGTTACAAAGAGCAGCCTAACAATGCAGGGGAATGTCAAGTTTTTTCAAATGTTTTACAAGGATGTTGGGGAAGCGGATGGTCTCTCCAACTCTGTCTCCATGTTCTATGTATTGACTTGCAAAGAGAGCACACTGTGTTATTTTTAGTCAAGATAAGCAATGAAAAAATGCATTGGTGCATACCTTGCCTTCCATATTTTTGAACTTAAATTCATTTCATACTGCCTTCTCTTTGAACAAAGAATTTACCAAGATAACCAGTATGTCGCGAGTCTTCCTGCAGTGCACCTCTTTCACAACCTTGGCTCCCATTTCTCCTGGCACACAGACTTTTTTCTCGAAGCATACTTGTTCCACTTGTGATTCTTCCCTGGCAAACAGTCCTGCCTTAAATTCAACCTATCTCTTGGATATCTTTGTGGAATTCTTGCTGTCTTATACCTGATTGGATTGAACAGGTTAGTGTTTGATAGTTTATTTGTTTTAGCATATCAAATTTTTTTAAGGGGACAGAGTTAAAAATTGGCCTCCCTTAGTACCATCAAGATGAATCCACTCTTCCTCCATTTTATTGCATAAAAATGTAATGTAATACTATTATAGACCCTTGTGTGTATGAGTGCTTCCTCCATCTCTTGAGGGTAGAGACCCGGTCTAGTTCCCCTCCTTATCCTCAGCAGCTAGCCCTGGGCCTGACACCTAGGAGGCACTTGGTAAATGTCTTTTGAATAAATGAATGAATAGTGATCAGTAAATTAATGGAAAGCTTTTAACCAAGGGATGTGCACGGAGGCTCAGCATGACTGTGTTTACTATCTGTAGGGCTAGCGGAGGTAGAGGATAAAAAGCTGGAGATAATTGGGCAGCCTTTGGGAACTGATGGTGCTACATAGGGAAGATCTCTTGGAAGGGAAGGAAGATAGTGAAAGATGGTTAAACGGGGAAAGAGGTTAAAGGGGAAGGGGAATAGAAAGGGTGAGTGCAAAAAGAAACACCACCTGTCAGACTGGGCTCTTTTCCTTTCCCTCTCCTCAGCTCCCACAGACTTCCTTCGGGCCCCTTTTTTTCAAAATGTAATTTATTTTATTTAACAATCTAGGAAGTTCACAGCCACCAGCAGTTCTAGTGCAATTTCAGGTGTGATTGGGAATTCGGGAATCTCAGTGGAGCTGTTAGTGTAGCGAACCTTGTAAGTAAAATACATGCATACTTTTGATAGCACATACGAAGGTATCTCTCTAAAATTGACCTCATTGGTTTCATTCTCGGCAAATTGACCAGGGCTGTTCAACATGGCTTTTATCATGCCTGATATTAATGCATGTTCTCTTTTTACAATAAATTCATGGCCATCAGATGGTATCAATTTGACATACATGGCATCTCAGGGCCTTCACAGCCACCATAGGTTTTCTCCTCTCCATTCATTTTGTTCTTATAAAATGCTACTTTGCTTCCCCTGGAACTTTAGTAGTTTCCTGGAGCTCTGCTTCTGCCTCAGTCAGAGTCTCACTCATCAGCCCTGCAGCCACTGCAGCCTGGTCCCCACGCACCCCCATAGCCCCTGTTCCAGGGCCATTGCCCCTCTTTGGGTCCCTTTTGTAGTTCTTCTCCACTTGCTCCAATTCTGATCAGAAGAGTTGCTGTGCAGGATCAAGAATTGTAAGCAGGTGGAAAACAGCAACTGAATATAAAGTTTAGGAATTCACTAAGCCAAGAAGTTTGAAGATAGGTTGAAATACCAGGCTGTGGTATAATGTTTCACTCTTGAAGAGGTGGGCCTTCCAAGTGACTACTCGTATTTCCCCTATGAAATGTGATGTTCTCCATGGAAACAGCCCATGAACAGCCCAGTGTTCCATTTTTCCAAGGTCTGCCAGCATTGCTGCTGGGCTGACTTGGAGGGTTGGCTGGGTTAGACTAAGGTTAAGCCAAGATCTTTTCAAAGTAATTGGCATTTGGAAGTAACTACTGTACATTGCCAAAAGAAGAGATGATGATGACAAAGAGCTGTGACCTTAAAGGAATGTGACCAGGCTTTGACTGATTCTTTCTTGTCAAAATAGCCAAAAGAATGTCTGATCAAGGGTCATGTTGAAAGGAAAATTTCAATTTGCCTCATTCTTTTTTTTTAAACATAGGTTTTTTTAGGACGCAGGGAATAAACATTGTTTGGAATACAGGTTTTCTTCTTGTTTAATTATCAAAATATTTTTAGGATATCTGAAATGCCCTCTGAAATCTGACAGTTAATATTTAAAGTATAATTTTGACTCACTTAAATAAGAAACTTGTCTGCTGGGCAAAATGAGAAATTTTGAGCTCTTCACTTGGGTTCAGGGTGGTGCCATCTGTATCTCTGTACCCAAGTGCTCTGTGTATAGTGGGAGCTCAGTAAACATTTGGTGCCTGAGTGAAAAAGTTGAAATTCAATAGCATTATACAATCCTGATCTGCTGTTTCAGCTGGAAGCAGCTAGTTAGTTATGCAGCTCATTGGCCCTCAGCATTTTGACTTCTTTTGCTGTAGAAGCAGATAGAGTAAGAAGCTAGGCATACCTTTATATCACCTATTTTCAAACCTCATCATTAACAATAAATTTATTTTATTAGAAATGTGTGTGCTTGTAGAAAAAGCTTGCAGTGTAACAAAACTAGCTTTCTAAAAATGAATGATTCTATCTTTTGTAATCAGTACTTCATGCAGTTGTAGTCACTGCAAATGGGCAAGCAGATAGCTCCAAGATTCTGTAAAGCCACTATGATTTGAACTATACTCATAATAATATAGTTCTGCATTTTTCCTCATTGCAGTTATATGATTTTAAAAATTATACAACATAAAAATGCAGAAAGAAATGAAAACGCATAGTTGCCACTATTAGTATATTCCTAGGGTATTTTTGGTGTAAGAATGTGTGATAATCATAATTCTAAGCTAGCCCTCCATGATCTCTACCCTCTAGTTATTCCTGTGATTATGTTGTTACTTGGCAAAAAGAATTTTACAGAGGTAATCAAGTTACTGATCAGTTGACCCTACGATAAGGAGATTATCTGGGTAAGCCTAATCTAATCACATGAATTCTTTAAAAGCAGAGAGGTTTCTTTGGCTAGTTGGAGAAGCAGAAGAAGTCAGAGATTCAAATCATGAGAAGCACTCAAAATGCCATTGCTTGCTGGAAGATGGGAGGAGCCGTAAGTTAAGAAATGTGAGTGACCTCTAGGAGAGGAGAGTGACCCCTAGCCAATAGTCAGCAAGCAAATGGAAATCTCAGTCCTACAAACAAAAAGAACTGTATTCTGCCCAACAGCCTGACTGAACTTGGAAGCAAATCCTATACAGTACCTCCAGCTTGGCCAACATCTGGATTTCAGCCTTTGTGACTGACCCTAAGCAGAGGACCCAGTTAACATGTGCCAAACTCCTGACCCATGAAAAATGTAAGATAATAAATATGTATTGTTTACAGCTGCTAAGCTTATGACAGTTACACAGCAATAGAGACTAATGCAGATTTTGATACTGAAAGTTGATACTGCTGTAATTAATACCTAAAAGGTGGAAATGGTTTTGGGATTAGGCAGTAGCTGGAGGCTAGAAGAATTTTGAGGAACATGATAGAGAAAGGCTAAATTGTCTCAAACAGACTGTTAGTAGAAATATGGATATTAAAGATACAACTGGTGAGAGCTTAGAAGGAGGTGAAGAGCATTATAGAGCAAACCTAAATTTCCTTGGAGAAAGCCTAAATCATCATGAACAGACTTTAATTAGAAATCTGGGCTTTTAGAATACTGTTGGGGAAGACTCAGAACGAAGTGAGAATCATGTTATTGGAACTGGAGGAAGGAGAATCCTTGCTATGTGGTGATAGAAAGTTTAGAAAAATTGTGTCCTGCAGTTATGTGGAAAGCAGAATTTGTAAATGACAAACTTAGATATATAGCTGAGGAGATTTGCAAGCAAAGTGTTAAAGGTGCTGGCTTATTTCTGTCTTACTACTTATACTAAAATGTGAGGAAAAAAAAATAACTGGAGGGAAAAACTGGTAAACATAAAGGGATTAGGACTGGAGAATTTTGAGACTGCTCAACCTTTCCAGGTGGCAAGAAATGCTAAGAGTCAGAAATGGCTTCCAAAAGTATGGCATAGAGAAAAGAAAGACTGTGCAACTGTCCAGCTTTCACTGAAGCCTCAGGAAGACTAAAAGGTTAAAGTGTTCAGTCATAGAAAAGGCTCTTCTAAGATATTAAGGTTGTGACTCACCGATCCCATCAGTGAAACTAGAGGGCCTCTCAGAAGCTTAGGAGTGTTGTCCCTCAGTCATCTCAGCAGAAACCAAAGACAGAGCAGGGATCATCTCAAAAATGTTTGTGCTCATGGCTTTTGTCTAATGGAGTGAAACTCTGAAAAATTTAGGCAAGGACCATTCAGTGAGTTGAATAGTTTCTTCCTGTAATTCATATCTTCCTTGGACCTATGAATGTGAACTTGTTTAAAAATAGGGTTTTTGCACATGTAATCATGTTAAGGTGAGATCATACTGGATTAGAGTGGGCCTTAATCTAATTAGTGGTGTCCTTATAAGAAGAGGGAAATTTGGACGCATACATGCAGCATGCAGAGAGGAAAACAACATGTGAAGACAGGCAGAGATTAGAGTGATGCACCTACAAGTCAAGAATTGTTTGCAGTTACTAAAAGCTAGAAGAGACAAGGAAGGACTCTCCTCTAGAGCCATCAGAGAGAGCATGGCTCTGCTGATACCTTGATTTAAGTTTTGTAGCTTCCAAAACTATGAGAGAATAAATTTTACTTTTCACAGGCCATCTAGTTTGTGTAACTTGTTACAGGAGCCCTAGGAAACTAGTAAGGATTATAATGTTTTTGAGAACATTACATCAACAGAAATGCTACTAGAGTGGACTGAAAGAACTGAGGAAGTACAAAATGAAAGAAAACTATTGGGGCTCTCCCATATGCCAATTTTATTGTCAGGAAGCAAGCTAATAAAACCACTTGGCTGAAAACATTTTCCTTTCTTGATAATGGAAGGATGACTCAGAGGGCAGAATCAAGAACCCAGAAGGCTGAACCAAGAACCCAGGGTGCAGATTTGAAAACCATAGCAGGTTATTCCAAGGCCTGGAATAATAAACCTAATTAAAGAACCCCAGCTGGAGTTTCTGTGGGTGTATTTCAAAGTTGCTTTGGATTTGTGTCTCCTTTTTGCCTTCCATCTCTCTCCCTTTTTTATTGATTAATATATTTTATTAAAAAATGTATTTCTAGAGCTTATAAATGGGTAAATTTCAACATAGTATCAATGCAGACTAACAATATTTTAATATTTCTTTTTACTCAACAGTCACCTTTATGTTTTGCTTTCCATCAACAAATGCATTGGATTACAGCAACAGTAATCTTACCTTTAAGTTCAATGCCTGAGTTTCTTGACCACTTTATTTCCATTCGGAGTTTAGTAATTACTTAACTTCACATTTCTCTGTCACCAGTGATAATCAAATGGTCTACCTAACTAGCCAAAATCATAAAACTATTATAAGCCATGTCAATGGAATTTATAATGTTTATATGAAACAACTATACTGACACACATGTGCATTGGGGCCTATTCGAAATATGTCAAAAATAACAAGCTTTAAAGAATGAGGTCTTCAGGCAAAGAGGGAAAAGGGTCTTCATCATAAAAAATTATTAGGAAGATTTAGATAAGAAATCAGCCTACAATTTTAACTAAATAAAGGAGGAAAGGGGAGTACATAATCACAGTTTATGACAGTTGAAGAAAAGTCAGTTGCCATTCTATCACAAACTGGCTCACTATCTCAAGAGCTTAGAATCAGGCTCTTCAGGCATTTATGAAAACAACAGAATATTATAATGCTACTTAATCTGACAGCAAATAATAGAAGAAAAATTGGTGGCACCACACCTTCTCAACAACCTTGAAAACAGGAACTAAAATGAATAATTAAGAAACAGTATTCAAAGATCACTGCAAGCTGGGCACAGTGGCTCACACCTGTAATCCCAGCACTTTGGCAGGCCAAGCTGGGTGGATTGCTTGAGTGCAGGAGTTCAAGACCAGGTTGGGCAACATGGTAAAACCCTGTGTATTGGTCTGTTCTCACACTTCTATAAAGACACTCCCTGAGACTGGGTAATTTATAAACAAAGGAGGTTTAATTGACTCACAGTTCTGCATGGCTGGAGAGGCCTCAGGAAACTTACAATCAAAGCAGAAGGGGAAAGAGGCACCTTCTTCACAAGGTAGCAGGAGACAGAAGTGTGTGTAAAGGGGAAAGAGCCCCTTATAAAACCATCATATCTTGTGAGAACTCACTATCACAAGAACAGCATGGGGGAATCCACTCCCATGATCCACTCACCTCCCACCAGGCCTCTCCCTCAACACCTGGGGATTACAATTCAAGATGAGATTTGAGTGGGGACACAAAGCCTAACCACATCACCCTGCCTCTACAAAAAATATAAAGAATTACTGGGCTTGGGCTGAGTACAGTGGCTTATGCCTGTAATCCCAGTACTTTGGGAGGCCGAGGCAGGCGGATCACTTGATGTCAGGAGTTCGTGACCAGCCTGGCCAACATGGTGAAACCTTGTCTCCACTAAAAATACAAAAAAAATTAGCTGGGTGTGGTGGTGCATGCCTGTAATCTCAGCTACTTGGGAGGCTGAGGCAGAAGAATCACTTGAAACTGGAAGGCAGAGGTTGCAGTGAGCCAAGATCGTGCCACTGCACTCCAGCCTGGGCAAAAGAGCAAAACTCCATCTCAAAAAAAAAAAAAAGAATTACTGGGCTTGGTGGCGTGCACGCGCCTGTAGTCTCAGCTACTTAGAGAGCTGAGGTGGGAGGATAACCTAAGTCCAGGAGGTCAAGGCTGCAGTGAGCCATGATAGCACCACTGCACTCCAGCTGGGGTGACAGAGTGACACCCTGTCTCAAAAATAAACAAGTAAAATAAAACTAAAACAACGAGCACTGTATTATCTAATGCAATTTATAAAATAAGCAAAGTTCAGCAATCTTCAATGGAAAAGGTCATAGTATTTGAAAATTAAGAATGTTTTGATGCTGATTTTTATCAAAATGGTACTTCAAGCCATTAATTGGAACAAATTCCAAACTCACAGTTACTTGCATCACCTCACTTTAGAATCAAATCATGAGTCCATTTCAGCTAATAATTTATTTTGATTTTTAGCTTCATGGTCCACTTCAATGGAAAGAGATTTTGTAGCAGTGACTTTGCTTCTCAGACTTTCAGTGAGTCTCATTTTCTTCCTCACAGGCACTATACTCACTGTTAGCATAGCCATAGTTCCCATAGTTGGGAACTCCTGGGTACTCCTATACCCAGACCTGCCCGCCTCATCCTGCCAGAGAAAAGAAGGAAAAGGCAGGCATGTGGGGAGAAGTGGTGAGTGGGTAGGAAATAGGTAGGGGTGACCCAGAGCACATCTTCAGTATCAGTGCCCAGCGGAATACCAATTTCTTCCTAAAAGTGCCATGACATCAGTGAAATATAAATATTATGCCTTTTTCGAATTGCAATGTGTATAACTATTATCCTATGTTTGCCCCACTATTGTATGTTTGGAGTACTGGAAGATCATAACATGTCTCTTTAGTTTTACAGGTCCACAGATAGAGAGGAATTGTGCCTGGGGACTGTTATTATGGGTTACCCTAGAGCCCCATCCTCTCCTGATTTCTACATGATTTACGTGATGGGATTGGGGGCATATGAGCCATTGAGATTTAGATGAGAATTTTTGATTTTGAGTTGATACTCTAATGGGAATTTGGGGAAGACAGTATTCTAAATAGCCCCTTAATCTCTGCCCTCTATTGTCACCCCCTTATTATGTTATGTTACATGAAAAAGTGATTTTACAGATGCTATTAAGGTGACTAATCAGTTGACCTTAAAATAAGATGTCAACCACGTGGGCCTATCCTAATTACATAGAGCCCTTAAAACAAGAGAGTTTTCTCTGGCTTACTGGGGAAGCAAAAGTCAGAGATTCAAAGCCTGAGAGAAATTCAATGTGTCACTGATGGCTTGAAGAAGGAGGAACCTACAAACTGATGAATTTGAGTGACCTCTAGGAGCTGAGATTGATTCCTGGGCAACAGTTGCTAGCAGAGAATGGAGACTTTAGTCCTACAACCACAAGAACTGAATTCTGCCAACAACCTGAATGAGCTCAGGAGAATATTCCTCCCCAGAGTCTCCTGATGAGAACATAGCTCAGCTGACATCTTGATTTTATTCAACCTTTGAGATCCTGAACAGAGGGCCCAGCTACAATATGCTGGATACCTGACCCATGGAAACTATAGCTAATAATCTGTATTATTTACTGTTGTAAGTTTGGGGTAATTTGTTATGCAACAATAGAAAACTAGTGTGTGTGTCTATGTAACACTATGTGTATAATTCTATGCATTTATATTCTTTAAATAGAAGAGATGACATTTTTACAAAATCATATAAAATCGGTCTAGCCAGAGGTTTATAGAACAATCTTGTGAGTCAGTAATAAAATGAAATTTATAGTACAGATAGAATTCCAATTTTTAAAAAGCCCTTAATAAAGAGGGATAGCTCTAGGTTCAAGCTTCTTATTGCTTTATCCTTCTGGGAGAATCTGTGAGAAGGATACCTCATTAGTATATACTGTCAAAGGGTTGAAATCTCAATAAAACAAACAGTTCAACAAGTAATCATTTAGCACCTTATAAGTGCCACTGGACACTAAGGTTAGCACTGGGGGTTGGGTGATTTTTTTTTGTAATTCAGGACTATGAGAAATAAATTTATGTTGTTTATGAGTTGGTATAAGCTTATAAGAGCAAAGGATATTATAAGAGCAAAGGATGCATTCTTAGCATTGGATGCTCATATACCTCATCCAAGGGAGATGAGGTGAGTGTGGCTTCTTGACTTTCTCCTGTTCTTTACAGAACACTGCCCCAGCTGGTGGAGATGGCATTTTGCCTGTCCAGGTTGAGGTCCTTTCAGGTTGCAGGTTGCAGGAGGCCATAAGCAGGAGCTTACCAAGTCTCTTAATACCTCAAATTATGTCACTCCCAACCGCTCGTATAATTACTTTATAAGGCTGCAAAAACTGCCTTTAGTTAAGCTCCATTTCCTTGGTCTAACTAGTGTAGATTTCAGGTACAATTTCTTACTATGCCAGTGGTGCCACCCTTACCACATTGGTCTAGGTTTTAGAATAATGACTAAGCATTTCATATGAGTAGTTATATTAGAATGATGAGGAGTGTAAAATTGTTCAAGATGTAGCAAAGCTTAACATGAAGGCTGGGCTACGGTCCTCAAAACCTAGTTCATAGAGTAGTCCTGGGAATTAAATGATGTAAGGCATTAATTAAATGATATAAGTGCTTAATTCAATGCCTGGCATAAACGAACAACTCAATAAATGTTAGTTGCTATTGTTGTTAATTGCTATGACTTACTTGTTAGTGCCCTTATGGTAACAACTATTATTGCAAAATAATTACAGAAAAGAAGGGCTGATATTGGGAGAAAGAGGAGAGGATCTGGAAGTCCTGAAGAGGCTGAAGAAATAATAGACTGGGAGTAACTGAATGAGAATGTTGGAAGAAAGGTTGCAGTTAGTGAATGGAGTGTTTGAATTTAATATTTAGGAGATAGAATAATTCCAAGTAATGATAGAAGTATAGCAAACTGGGATGGACGTGGAGTATGTGTGATGTGAAATGGGAGATAGGAGAAGAAGGTCATTAACACTAAGGAAGCCAAAGGAGTCTGGAGAATCAGGTAGGGTATCCGTGTGGCTTTGGAACACTCTCAGGATGACAGCACAACTTAGACTACAGGAGGCAATGGAAAACACTAATGTCTTTAATAAAAGAAGGAAGTACCTGAATCCTTGTTGGTAGGATTTCCAAGACTGAGAGTGTCTCTGGATCCTGTCGTTTTAGCAGAACTACTCTGTGCACTATTTATACCCTTGTTGGAGTTCTCTCTACCTTCTAACTTCAGGAAGTGATTTTATTGTGCCAGTTCCCAGAAAGCTGATGGGGCAGTGTATTCATGCCCAAGCTGGCTGTTTGGAATACATCTAATGTACCCATTCTTCCAGCCCAGGCAAACTGCCCTTAAGAGCTACTTGATCCAACATCACGAAATCTGTTCTCATTCTAATTTAGAATGCAGGAACTTGTGTGGTGACTCATATGTTTGAAAAGCTCAAATTAAGTAGTGGTGATCTCAACCATGATTCACTGATGAGAACTGGAAAGTGATTCATCTCCTTTATGTGCTTGTCCTTGGGAGTCTCCAGGCTTAAAGGTCTTCCAGAAACACACTGCACTCAAGGAAAGACACTGGGCCCTCCTGTGGTGGTATTTTAGCAATTACACAGAGGCATTCACTACATTTTTTTACTAGGTCATTTCCTTTAGTTCATTTTATTCCCATCTACAGTCCACAAGATGCTCTTGTGCTGTAATGATTCACTGCCGATAAATGAAAAGTCAATGATACTTTTAGGTCAAAGGTGGGTGTACATTTAGTAAACCATTGGTGCAGATTCACAATTATCTAATATGTAGGGATAACTGTATTTTTCTTAGTATGTACTTGTTATCAAGGAGTAACTTTTTTCTTACCACAGTAACAGGGTTTGAATGTATTTTATATGATACTGTCAGAGGCGTTTAAACCAGAGCAACTCCATCTTGCATAGGCGCTGGGTAAAATAAGACTGAGACCTACTGGGCTGCATTCCCAGGAAGTTAAGTCACTCTTAGTCACAGGATGAGATAGGAGGTTGGCACAAGATATAGGACACAAAGACCTTGCTGATAAAACATTATGTGGTCAAGAAGCCTGCCAAAACCCACCAAAACCAAGATGGTGATGAAAGTGACCTCTGCTCTCCTCACTGCTCATTATATGCCAATTATAATGCATTAGCATGTTAACAGTTACTCCCACCAGTGCAGTGACAGCAGTTTACAAATGCCATGACAATGTCAAGAAGTTACCCTGTATGGCTTCAAAATGGGAGAATCCCTCAGTTCTGGGAATGGCCCACCCCTTTCCTGGAAAACTCATGAATAATCAACCTCTTGTTTAGCATATAATCAAGAAATAACTATAAGTATCTCCTTAGTCCAGCAGCCCAAGCTGCTGCTCTGCCTATAGGGTAGCCATTCTTTATTGCTTTACTTTCTTAAAACTTGCTTTCACTTTCCTCTATGAGCTCACCCCAAATTCTTTCTTGTGCAAGATCCAAGAACCCTGTCTTGGGGTCTGGATCAGGACCCCTTTCTGGTAACAATACCAAGAGGGAATACTAATTAAAAAACTAGTTTAAAGTTAAGATAACTTACACTAAAATAAACCAAAGATTCTTGTATACTGGTAATAGCACTGTGTGGAATTACAAATCCATACCCAAACAATCTACCTGACAAAGTAAGATCATATAATTTAACCAGATTAAGTATTTTTGCATCTACTATGCTGAGCAACCAGAACTAGGTAGGCACTATTGCTATGAATTTTCCTAGTATTTGTTTAAAAAAATTCACTATAGACCTGGTAAACAATCAATTACAATCCCATCTGATATAGTTGTGACCCTGTCCTCAGTTTGTAATGCTTCTAGCTAACATTTACAGTGAACCCATTTTGTGATAGGAACTGATCTAAGTACTGTCAGGCCTCTGAGCCCAAGTCAAACCATCGCATCCCCTGTGACTTGCATGTATACGCCCAGATGGCCTGAAGTAACTGAAGAATCACAAAAGAAGTGAAAAGGCCCTGCCCCGCCTTAACTGATGACATTCCACCATTGTGATTTGTTCCTGCCCCACCTTAACTGAGTGATTAACCCTGTGAATTTCCTTCTCCTGGCTCAGAAGCTCCCCCACTGAGCACCTTGTGACCCCCGCCCCTGCCCACCAGAGAACAACCCCCTTTGACTGTAATTTTCCATTACCTTCCCAAATCCTATATAAGACGGCCCCACCCTTATCTCCCTTCGCTGACTCTCTTTTCGGACTCAGCCCACCTGCACCCAGGTGAAATAAACAGCTTTATTGCTCACACAAAGCCTGTTTGGTGGTCTCTTCACACAGAGGCGCATGAAATTTGGTGCCGTGACTCGGATCAGGGGACCTCCCTTGGGAGATCAATCCCCCATCCTCCTGCTCTTTGCTCTATGAGAAAGATCCACCTACGACCTCAGGTCCTCAGACCAACCAGCCCAAGAAACATCTCACCAATTTCAAATCTGGTAAGCGGCCTCTTTTTACTCTCTTCTCCAACCTCCCTCACTATCCCTCAACTTCTTTCTCCTTTCAATCTTGGCACCACACTTCAATCTCTCCCTTCTCTTAATTTCAATTCCTTTCATTTTCCGGTAGAGACAAAGGAGACATGTTTTATCCGTGGACCCAAAACTCCGGCGCCGGTCACGGACTGGGAAAGCAGCCTTCCTTTGGTGTTTAATCATTGCAGGGATGTCTCTCTGATTATTCACCCACGTTTCAAAGGTATCAGACCACGCAGGGACGCCTGCCTTGGTCCTTCACCCTTAGCGGCAAGTCCCACTTTTCTGGGGAAGGGGCAAGTACCCCAACCCCTTTTCTCCTTGTCTCTACCCCTTCTCTGCTTTTCTGGGGAAGGGGCAAGTACCCCAACCCCTTCTCTCCTTGTCTCTACCCCTTCTCTGCTTTTCTGGGGAAGGGGCAAGTACTCCAACCCCTTCTCTCCTTGTCTCTACCCCTTCTCTGCTTTTCTGGGGAAGGGGCAAGTACCCCAACCCCTTCTCTCCTTGTCTCTACCCCTTCTCTGCTTTTCTGGGAGAGGGGCAAGTACCCCTCAAACCCTTCTCCTTCACCCTTAGTGGCAAGTCCCGCTTTCCTGGGGCAGGGTCAAGTACCCCTCAACCCCTTCTCCTTCACCTTTAGCGGCAAGTCCCGCTTTTCTGGGGGAGGAGCAAGTACCCCTCAACCCCTTCTCCTTCACCCTTAGTGACAAGTCCTGCTTTTCTAGGGGGCAAGAACCCCCAATACCTTATTTCCACACCCCAACCTCTTATCTCTGTGCCCCTATCCCTTATTTCCGTGCCCCAAACCCCCTTCCCGCTTTTCAGGAGGGTAAGAACCCCTGAACCCCTTCCCTCCATGTCTCTACGCTCTCTTTTCTCTGGGTTTGCCTCCTTCACTATGGGCAACCTTCCACCCTCCATTTCTCCTTCTTCTCCCTTAGCCTGTGTTCTCAAAAACTTAAAACCTCTTCAACTCACACCTGACCTAAAACCTAAATGCTTATTTTCTTCTGCAATGCCGCTTGACCCCAATACAAACTCGACAGTAGTTCCAAATAGCCAGAAAATGGCACTTTGAATTTTTCCATCCTGCAAGATCTAAATAATTCTTGTCGTAAAATAGGCAAATGGTCTGAGGTGCCTGACGTCCAGGCATTCTTTTACACATCAGTCCCTTCCTAGTCTCTGTGCCCAGTGCAACTCGTCCCAAATCTTCCTTCTTTCCCTCCCACCTGTCCCCTCAGTACCAACCCCAAGCGTCGCTTAGTCTTTCTAATCTTCCATTTCTACAGACCCATCTGACCTCTCCCTTCCTCCCAAGGCTGCTCCTCTCCGGGCCGAGCTAGGTCCCAATTCTTCCTCAGCCTCTGCTTCTCCACCCTATAATCTTTTTATCACCTCCCCTCCTCACACCTGGTCCGGCTTACAGTTTCGTTCCGTGACTAGCCCTCCCCGACCTGCCCAGCAACTTACTCTTAAAAAGGTGGCTGGAGCCAAAGGCATAGTCAAGGTTAATGCTCCTTTTTCTTTATCCCAAATCAGAAGCATTTAGGCTCTTTTTCATCAAATATAAAAATCCAGCCCAGTTCATGGCTCGTTTGGCAGCAACCCTGAGATGCTTTACAGCCCTAGACCCTAAAAGGTCTAAAGGCCGTCTTATTCTCAATATACATTTTATTACCCAATCTGCTCCCGACATTAAATAAAACTCCGAAAATTGGAATCTGGCCCTCAATCCCCACAACAGGACTTAATTAACCTCATCTTCAAGGTGTACAATAACAGAAAAAAGTTGCAATTCCTTGCCTCCACTCTGAGACAAACCCCAGCCACATCTCCAGCACACAAGAACTTCCAAATGCCTGAACCACAGCAGCCAGGCTTTCCTCCAGAACCTCCTCCCCCAGGAGCTTGCTACATGTGCCGGAAATCTGGCCACTGGGCCAAGGAATGCCCGCAGCCCAGGATTCCTCCTAAGCCGCGTCCCATCTGTGTGGGACCCCACTGAAAATCGGACTGTTCATCTCACCTGGCAGCCACTCCCAGAGCCCCTGGACCTCTGGCCCAAGGCTCTCTGACTGACTCCTTCCCAGATCTTCTTGGCTTAGCGGCTGAAGACTGACACTACCCGATCGCCTCGGAAGCCCCCTGGACCATCACGGATGCCGAGCTTCCGGTAACTCTCAGAGTGGAAGGTAAGCCCGTCCCCTTCTTAATCAATATGGAGGCTACCCACTCCACATTACCTTCTTTTCAAGGGCCTGTTTCCCTTGCCTCCATAACTGTTGTGGGTATTGACGGCCAGGCTTCTAAACCTCTTAAAACTCCCCAACCCTCGTGCCAACTTAGACAATACTCTTTTAAGCACTCCTTTTAGTTATCCCCACCTGCCCAGTTCCCTTATTAGGCTGAGACACTTTAACTAAATTATCTGCTTCCCTGACTATTCCTGCACTACAGCTGTATCTCATTGCCGCCCTTCTTCCCAATCCAAAGCCTCCTTTGCGTCCTCCTCTTGTATCCCCCACCTTAACCCACAAGTATAAGATACCTCTACTCCCTCCTTGGCGACCGATCATGCACCCCTTACCATCTCATTAAAACCTAATCACCCTTACCCCACTCAACGCCAATATCCCATCCCGCAGCACGCTTTAAAAAGATTAAATCCTGTTATCACTCACCTGCTACAGCATGGCCTTTTAAGGCCTATAAAATCTCCTTACAATTCCCCCATTTTACCTGTCCTAAAACCAGACAAGCCTTACAAGTTAGTTCAGGATCTTCACCTTATCAACCAAATTGTTTTGCCTATCCACCCTGTGGTGCCAAAACCATATACTCTCCTATCCTCAATACCTGCCTCTACAACCCATTATTCTGTTCTAGATCTCAAACATGCTTTCTTTACTATTCCTTTGCATCCTTAATCCCAGCCACTCTTTGCTTTCACTTGGACTGACCCTGACACCCATCAAGCTCAGCAAATTACCTAGGCTGTACTGCCGCAAAGCTTCACAGGCAGCCCCCATTACTTCAATCAAGCCCAAATTTCTTCCTCATTTGTTACCTATCTCGGCATAATTCTCATAAAAACACACGTGCTCTCCCTGCCAATCGTGACCGACTGATCTCTCAAACCCCAGAACCTTCTACAAAACAACAACTCCTTTCCTTCCTAGGCATGGTTAGTGCGGTCAGAATTCTTACACAAGAGCCAGGACTGCACCCTGTAGGCTTTCTGTCCAAACAACTTGACCTTACTGTTTTAGCCTAGCCCTCATGTCTGCGTGCAGCGGCTGCCACTGCTTTAATACTGTTAGAGGCCCTAAAAATCACAAACTATGCTCAACTCACTCTCTACATTTCTCATAACTTCCAAAATCTATTTTCTTCCTCATACCTGATGCATATACTTTCTTCTCCCCGGCTCCTTCAGCTGTACTCACTCTTTAGGTCTCACAATTACCATTGTTCCTGGCCCGGACTTCAATCTGGCCTCTCACATTATTCCTGATATCACACCTGACCCCCATGACTGTATCTCTCTGATCCACCTGATATTCACCCCATTTCCCCATATTTCCTTCTTTCCTGTTCCTCACCCTGATCACGCTTGATTTATTGATGGCAGTTCCACCAGGCCTAATCGCCACACACCAGCAAAGTCAGGCTATGCTATAGTACAAGCCACTAGCCCGCCTCTCAGAACCTCTCATTTCCTTTCCATCCTGGAAATCTATCCTCAAGGAAATAACTTCTCAGTGTTCCATCTGCTATTCTACTACTCCTCAGGGATTATTCAGGCCCCCTCCCTTCCCTACACATCAAGCTCGAGGATTTGCCCCCACCCAGGACTGGCAAATTAGCTTTACTCAACATGCCCGAGTCAGGAAACTAAAATACCTCTTAGTCTAAATAGACACTTTCAACTGAATAAGTAAAGACCTTTCCTACAGGGTCTGAGAAGGCCACCGCAGTCATTTCTTCCCATCTGTCAGACATAATTCCTCAGTTTAGCCTTCCCACCTCTATACAGTCTGATAACAGACCAGCCTTTATTAGTCAAATCAGCCAAGCAGTTTTTCAGGCTCTTAGTATTCAGTGAAACCTTTATATCCCTTACAGTCCTCCATCTTCAAGAAAAGTAGAACGGACTAAAGGTCTTTTAAAAACACACCTCACCAAGCTCAACCACCAACTTAAAAAGGACTGGACAATGCTTTTATCACTTTCGCTTCTCAGAATTCAGGCCTGTCCTCAGAATGTTACACAAGGTACAGTCCATTTAAGCTCCTGTATAGACGCTCCTTTTTATTAGGCCCCAGTCTCATTCGACACCAGACCAACTTAGACTGTGCCCCCAAAATCTTGTCATCCCTACTATCTTTTGTCTAGTCATACTCCTATTCACCATTCTCAACTACTCATACACACCCTGCTCTTGTTTACACTGCCGGTTTACACTGTTTCTCCAAGCCATCACAGCTGATGTCTCTTGGTGCTATCCCCAAACTGCCACTCTAAGCTCTTAAAGTAAATAAATAATCTTTGCTGGCAGGACTATGCTGAATCTCCTTAGGCACTCTCTAATCAGATGTCCTAGGTCCTCCCAATTCTTAGACCTTTTATACCTGTTTTTCTCCTTCTGTTATTCCATTTAGTTTCTTAGTTCATCCAAAACGGTATCCAGGCCATCACCAATCATTCTATACGACAAATGTTTCTTCTAACAACCCCACAATATCACCCCTTACCACAAGACCTCCCTTCAGCTTAATCTCTCCCACTCTAGGTTCCCACGCCGCCCCTAATCCCGCTTGAAGCAGCCCTGAGAAACATCGCCCATTCTCTCTCCATACCACCCCCCAAAATTTTCGCCGCCCCAACACTTCAACACTATTTTGTTTTATTTTTCTTATTAATATAAGAAGGCAGGAATGTCAGGCCTCTGAGCCCAAGCCAAGCCATCGCATCCCCTGTGACTTGCATGTATACGCTCAGATGGCCTGAAGTAACTGAAGAATCACAAAAGAAGTGAAAAGGCCCTGCCCCGCCTTAACTGATGACATTCCACCATTGTGATTTGTTCCTGCCCCACCTTAACTGAGTGATTAACCCTGTGAATTTCCTTCTCCTGGCTCAGAAGCTCCCCCACTGAGCACCTTGTGACCCCCGCCCCTGCCCACCAGAGAACAACCCCCTTTGACTAATTTTCCATTACCTTCCCAAATCCTATAAGATGGCCCCACCCTTATCTCCCTTCGCTGACTCTCTTTTCGGACTCAGCCCACCTGCACCCAGGTGAAATAAATAGCTTTATTGCTCACACAAAGCCTGTTTGGTGGTCTCTTCACACGGACGCGCATGAAAAGTACTAAACATGAATTAATTCATTTTATCTTTACGACAACCCTAGGAAGTAAACAGTTACTATCCTTATTCCTGTTTTTATATACAAGGAAACTGAAGCATATGTTACCTGGGCATCCTTGTTCTTAGAGCTTCCAAGATGGTGGCAAGCCTCTTGTTCTCTGACCTGGGGTTCTTGGCCTCACGGATTTCAAGGAATGGAATCTTGGACCATGCGGTGAGTGTTATACCTCTATTCAGCTCGATTAGGACGAACTCGGGGCACTTAGCCCTCGCAGGAACAATGGCGAGCCTCTAGCCCGATTGGGAGCGGCAGTGGGCGCTGCCTCACTGGGTCAGAAGTGCAGCAGACACCCTGCCGGATCTAGAGGGGTGAAGTCAGCCGCGGGTCTGCGACAGCGGCAAACAGCAGTGGTGGACAGCGAGCAAAAGCTCAGCTCGAGCAGTAATAAATATGGACCAGAAGAATGCAGTTGCAAGATTTAATAGAGTGAAAAACAGAGCTCCCATAAAGTGGGAGGGGACCCAAAGGGGGATGCCGCTCCCTGCTCCAATGCTGGTGTTTATATCCCGATCATTGTCCCTCCCCCTGTGCTCTCAGGCGATATATGATTTCACTATTTCTTTACCTCCTGCTTTAGCCTAACTTGTATTTTAGTGAGCCCTCTTTACTACCTGATTGGTTGGGTGTGAGCTGAGTTACAAGCCCCATTTAAAGGTGGGCGTGGTCACCTTCCATAGCTAGGCTTAGGAATTGTTAGTCGGCCTAGGAAATCCAGCTAGTCCTATCTCTCACATAGAAACTTTTTTCTAGTACATAAAAATGAAATTAATTTATTTCCATAATCATGAGGTACATACAATGTTGTGATATGTACTTCTTTATTTTTTTTAAATTTTATTTTTATTTCAATAGTTTTTTGGGTACAGGTGGTTTTGATTACATGGATAAGTTCTTTAGTGGTGATTTCTGAGATTTTAGTGCACCCGTCACCTGAGCTATGTACACTCCACCCAATGTGTAGTCTTTTATCCCTCACTCCCCTCCCAACCTTCCCCCACCAAATCCTCAAAGTCTGTTATATCATTCTTACACCTTTGCATCCTCATAGCTTAGTTCCCACTTACAAGTGAGAACATATGATATTTGGTTTTCCATTCCTGAGTCACTTCGCTTAGAATAATGGTCTCCAGCTCCATTCAAGTTGCTGTAAAAGACATTATTTCATTTCTTTTTATCTTTTTTTTTTTTTTTGAGTTGGAGTCTTGCTCTGTCACCCAGGCTGGAGTGCAGTGGCATGATCTCAGCTCACTGCAACCTCCGCCTCCTGGGTTCAAATGATTCTTCTGCCTCAGCCTCCCGAGTAGCTGGGACAACAGGCGCACACCACAATGCCCAGCTAATTTTGGTATTTTTAGTAGAGACAGGGTTTCACTATATTGGCCAGGCTGGTCTTGAACTCCTGACTTTCTGATATGCCCACCTCGGCCTCTCAAAGTGCTGGGATTACAGGCGTGAGCCACCACGCTCGGCCATGTTTCATTTCTTTTTATGGCTGAGTAGTATTTCATAATGCATATATACCACATTTTCTTTATCTGCTCTTTGGTTGATGAGCACTTAGGTTGGTTCCATATCTTTGCAATTGTGAATTGTGCTTCTATAAACATGCATTGAAGCAAAGAGAATTTAAGTGAATGGCACAAAGTAACCCAACAAAGTTTGGGGAGCCAGAGTTCAGACCCAGGTAGACCAGCTCAAGAGTTCATGTTCTTTGTCATCCTCCTGTGAGCTCTCTGTAAGTCTCTTTCTTGCCCATCACCACATCCCTAGTACTGGGTATCAGTCTGGCCACTTGGCTTTCTGGTTTGCCCCAATGTGGTCTATTCTTGATGCAGCTACCAAAGTAATGTTTTAAAACCATTATACCAAGTTACTATCCTTGTCAAAACCCCCAGTAACTGCCAATCTCACTTAGAATAAAATCCGGACTCCTGTGAAGCACAGCATAAACTGGCCACTGCCTATGCAGCAACCTCATCTTTACCGTTTCCTGCCTTGCTCACTCCCTTCCAGCGCCGTTATTCTTCCTGATGCCCCTAGTACACAACAACTCCTTCCTGCTCCAAGAGTAGGAAAATTACTGTTCTCTCTGCCAGTGAGATTCCTCTTCTGGTATTACCTTTGCTTCATTGCTGAATCTTCTCCAATATCATCTTCTAAAAAGAGCCTTTTAAAATCACCTTTTCTATTATGCCCTACTCATTTCCAGTCCCTGAATTGCCCATTCCCCACTTCATAGCACTTATTGCTATCTGAAATTACACTAAATGTCACCTTCATGATGGTAGGCAATTTATTGCCTTTGTCACTGTTATGTCTAGAGAACAAGCAGCTGGCTCATAGTAGGCACTCAACAAATATTTGTTCAATGAATGAATTTATAAATGAATGCCTATCTAATAACAGATATACATTTTTTTGAACGAATAAGTCAATGCCTTTTGTCTTGAAGATGAAACACAGATAATTTTAATACAATGTGAAAAAGTGTATGGGTGTGTAGAAGAGGGGTTCTTAGAGTTTCTGGAGAGAATGATTCTGAGCTCGGTTTTGACAAAAGAGGAGCTACTGAGGCTAAAAGTGGATGAAAAGGGCCTTCTAATTAAAAGAAACAAGACAGGACTCAGAGGTGTGAAACAAATATTATGCATGGTGAATTACAATGAGTTGGGGGTATTCTGTAGCCCTAAAGTACAAGGTATAAAGAGACAGAAAATGATCCTGGAATATAGACAGAGGATACTTCATCTCTCATGAGCAATGAAATGAAAATATTAAAAAGCTCTTATCAAACACAATTATCTTGCACTTATAAGTTAATGGAATCTATCAATTTAAAAATTATCATTTGTTCTTATTCATCTTTTTTTAACCCAGATATTAAGAGTGATTGCTAGCATCCAGATAAAGAAAGGTAAAGGACATCTTTAGACACAAGGACAACAATCACAAGTTGTTAGTGCATGTATTAGTCTGTTATCATGCTGCTGCTAAAGACATACTTGAGACTGGGAAGAAAAAGAGGCTTAATTGGACTTACAGTTCCACCTGGCTGGGGAGGCCTCAGAATCATGATGGGAGCTGAAAGGCACTTCTTACAGGGCAGCAGCAAGAGAAAATGAGATGGTTGCAAAAGTGGAAACCCCTGATAAAACCATCAGATCTCGTGAGACTTATTCACTACCACGACAACAGTATGGGGGAAACCACCCCCATAATTCAAATTATCTCCCACTGGGTCCCTCCCACAACACATGGGAATTATGGGAGCTACAATTCAAGATAAGATTTGGCTGGAGACACAGAGCCAAATCATATCATCCCACCCCTGGCCCCTCCAAATCTCATGTCTTCCCCTTTCAAAACTAATCATGCCTACCCAACATTCCCCCAAAGTCTTAACTCATTTCCACAGTCCAAAGTCTCATCTGAGACAAGGCAAGTCCCTTCTGCCTATGAGCTAGTTACTTCCTAGATACAATGGGGGTACAGGTATTGAGTAAATACAGCCATTCTAAAGGGGAGAAATTGGCCAAAACATAGGGGTTACAGGGCCTATGCAAGTCCGAAATCCAGTGGGGCAGTCAAATTTTAAATCTCCAAAATGATCTCCTTTGACTCCAGGTCTCACATCCAGGTTATGCTGATGCAAGAAGTGGGTTCCCATGGTCTTGGGCAGCTCCACTCCTGTGACTTTGTAGGGTACAGCCCCCCACCTGGCTGTTTCCATGAGCTGGCATTGAGTGTCTGTGGCTTTTCCAGATGCATGGTGCAAGCTGTTGGTGGATCTACCATTCTGGGGTCTGGAGGATAGTGGCCCTCTTCTCACAGCTCCACTAAGCGGTACCTCAGTAGAGACTCTGTGTGGGGGCTCTGACCCACAGTTCCCTTCCGCACTGCCTTAGCAAAGGTTCTCCATGAGGGCCCCGCCCCTGCAGCAAATTTCTGCCTGGGCATCCAGGTGTTTCCATACATCTTCTGAAATCTAGGCAGAGGTTCCCAAACCTCAATTCTTGACTTTTGTGCACATGCAGGCTCAACATTACATGGAAGCCACCAAGGCTTGGGGCTTCCACCCTCTGAAGCAACAGCCCAAGCTGTACCTTGGTCCCTTTAAGTCATGGCTAGAGTGGCTGGGAGGCAGAACACCAAGTCCCTGGACTGCACACAGCATCGGCACACAAGGTCTGGCCCATGAAACTATTTTCTCCTAGGCTTCCAGGCCTGTGATGGAAGGGGCTGCCATGAAGATCTCTGACATGCCGTGGAGACATTTTCCACATTTTCCTGTGGAGTAACATTCAGCTCCTTGTTACTTATGCAAACTTCTGCAGCTGGCTTGAATTTCCCCACCGAAAATGGGTTTTTCTTTTCTATTGCATAGCCAGGCTGCGAATTTTCTGATCTTTTATGCTCTGCTTCCCTTGTAAAACTGAATGCCTTTAATAGCACCCAAGTTACCTTTTGATTGCTTTGCTGCTTAGAAATTTCTTCCACCAGATACCCTAAATCATGTCTCTCAAATTCAAAGTACCACAAATCTCTAGGGCAGGGACAAAATGCCACCAGTCTCTTTGCTAAAACATAATGTGAGTCATCTTTGCTCCGGTTCCCAACAAGTTCCTCATCTCATCTGAGACCACCTCAGCCTGGAATTTACTGTTCTTATTGCTATCAGCATTTTGGGCAAAGCCATTCAACAAGTCTCTAGGAAGTTCCAAACTTTCCCACATTTTCCTGTCTTCTTCTGAGCTCTCCAAACTGTTCTAACATCTGCCTGTTACCCAGTTCCAAAGTCACTTCCACATTTTTGGATATTTTTCAGCAGCGCCCCACTCTACTGGTACTAATTTACTGTATTAATCCATTTTCATGCTGCTGATAAAGACATGCCCGAGACTGGGAAGAAAAAGAGGTTTAATTGGACTTACAGTTCCACATGGCTGGGGAGGCCTCAGAATCATGGTGGGAGGAGAAAGACACTTCTTACATGGTGGTAGCAAAAGAAAATGCGAAGGAAACAAAAGCAGAAACCTCCAATAAAACTATCAGAACTCATGAGACTTATTCACTACCATGAGGACAGTATGGGGGAAACTGCCCCCATGATTCAAATTATCTCCCACCAGGTCCCTCCCACAACAGGTGGGAGTTATGAGAGTACAATATAAGATGAGATTTGGATGGGGACACAGAGCCAAACCATATCACTGCATAAGTGACTCAGGTTACTTCCAGATGGTGAGGACTTTCTGAAGCTGTCGCCCTTACAGGCCATGACTTTTCTCTAGCACTGTCCAGATTGCAGGTGTCTTTCCTGATGCGATATGGGGCTATCCCTTACCCCAATTCTTATTTCACGGAGAAAAGAAAAGCAATTTTTTTTTTTTTTGAGACAGAGTCTCACTCTGTCACCAGGCTAAAGTGCAGTGGCATGATCTCGGCTCACTGCAACCTCTGCCTCTGGGGTTCAAGCGATTCTCCTGCCTCAGCCTCCCGAGTAGCTGGGACTACAGGCACACGACCACACCCAGCTAATTTTTGTATTTTTAGTAGAGACAGGGTTTCACCATGTTGGCCAGGATGGTCTCGATCTCTTGACCTTGTAATCCACCAGCCTCGGCCTCCCAAAGTGCTGGAATTACAGGTGTGATCTGCTGCGCCCGGCCGAAAAGCAATTTTTAATTTTCTTGTTTGTTGTTGATTTCTCTACCAGAATATAAACTTCTTAAGAGCATCTTTGATAATCTTTACTCCTGGCAGGAGTTCCCGATCTTTGGTCTCTGAAACACTGATGATATTCTCTGTCAGCTGTGCTGATTCCTAGCTATGACACCAATTGATGTCTTTCTTTTTTTTTCTTTAAGGATGTCACTAAGCTCATATGTGGTAACTAATAATAATGCAGTAATATTTTACCTACTCATAATTCTGCAATCAGGTTATTTCAGCTCAACAAATATTTTCTGAGTACATGATTTGTGATAGGCATTGTCCTGGAGCCTGGATATAATGGTGGATAAAGTAGTCATATTTAGGACCCCGATGGAATTTATATTCTGGCAGGGAAGACATATTAAATAACTAATTGTAAATATGCCAAGTGGTTCAGCTAAATCAGCCATGGGAGCATGTACTAGGGTGTTTACATTGGTTTAGGAGTCAGGGATATTCTAGCTAAAGAAGTGATACTTCAGCTCTAACTTGAAGTTTGAATAGGAATTAGCTAGGTTGAGGGCAAGGTATAGGAGTGGGGATGAGCTTTCCAGGTAGATGGAAATAGAGCTGGACAGGCCTGTAGGCACAAAAGTGAACATATGTTTGACAAACTGAGAGTAGTTCAATGTAACTGGATCAGAGGGTGCAAGGGGAAATGTGGGACAATAAGACTGGAAGGTCAAAAAGTGGCAAGATTGTGAACCATGCAATGAATTTGAGACATTATCCTGTGGATGGATAGAAATAACTAGAGAGTTCTAAGCGGAAAGATGACAATCAGATTTCTTTTGTGAAATATTATTCTATAATCATCTCTTTAGAAACTCAATAATTAAAAACCAGCAATAAATAGCAAATGCTTCTAAGCAGTCTAAATTTATTATATCTATGATAAAGCCACATCCCCAAATTTATGCATTTATTTTACTCATAAAAGAATTCCCATGTGTGTAATTTAGTTTACATTTTATTTATGCACTTTCAAAAGCTTTGTTATCTCCTTTACATAGTTTTTTTTGGGGGCTGTCATTTCACTTTCACTTTTTTTGTTTTTGTTTATTTTTTGTTTTTATTTTGTCGGTGGTAAAAGATAAATATACTTAACAAATGAATGTATTTTAACTGAACCTTGAAAGATCATAGAAAAGGCAAAGCATAAAGAGAAAGCCGACTGGTCAGTATTAGCTACTTAAGAAGACATTTAGTGTACTTTAGAAATATTTTCATAAAATATTAACAAATCTTTAAAGGTTTGTTATTATGACAACCAATTACATCTGCAGGAATTTGGGACAAACCTAGTCCCACAATATGGGAGCTTTTCCTTTATCTGTCATCAAGGAAGAATGAAGACTGTTTCACAGTTTTCCTATTTCAAAGGCTAGTCCCTTTATTACACTAATATTGGTAATTTAATATTTTCCCCAAAAAAATCACACTTAAAATTAGTTGTATACATGCTTACTTTGATAATCAGGTTTTTCGATGCTTAACCAAAGGACATGAAGGGTAATAAGGCAGATACAAGTTTGGTAGCTATTTAAATAACACTTTTTACCCAAACTTTAAATATCTCTTACAGTTGTGCTTTCCTAATTCTGTTGTTTGGTTTTACAAGTTTATTGCAGCAGAGACTATCTGCCCTGTGTCTTTTCTAATTTATTTCCTTTTAGTATGTAGACGGTGGAAAACAAGGGTACCAAACTTTGATACAAGGTTTGTGTAAAAAAAAAAGTCAGGATTTCAGTGCATGGACTTTGAAGGCAGATTGCCTTGATTTGAGTTTTAGCTCCTTTTTTATATCAGCTGTGTGAATGAGGCACTTTACTCCCTCAGACAGGATTTTTTCCTATTTTGAGTTACTAGGTCTGGATTTTAATCCTGGATCTACCTTTGAGTAACTATTTGGCCCTGGGAAACTTTTTAAACCTGTCTTCCTATATTAAGAATGATTATAATAAATAAACATAAATAGAACTACTACCGCTATTACTTCTACCACTGCTAGTCCTACTAGTTGTTACTAGTCATGGTAGTGGTGACAGTAATATTACCACCACCACCGCTAGTAACAAAAACAACGGCATCTGTCTTTTTTCTACTTAACAGTTATTACAATAGAAAATATGTTAATATATAACCTAAATCAGAAAGCACTGTGCAATTATGAGAAGTTATTATTACATCTTTAAATTTTCTACTAAATTCTTTTTTTTTTTTTTTTTTTTTTTGATATGGAGTCTCGCTCTGTCGCCCAGGCTGGAATGCAGTGGTGCGATCTCTGCTCACTGCAAGCTCTGCCTCCCAGGTTCACGCCATTCTCCTGTCTCAGCCTCCCAAGTAGCTGGGACCACAGGCGCCTGCCAGCATGCCCGGCTAATTTTTTTTGTATTTTTAGTAGAGCCGGGGTTTCACCATGTTAGGGAGGATGGTCTCGAACTCCTGACCCTGTGATCCGCCCGCCTCGGCCTCCCAAAGTGCTGCGATTACAGGCGTGAGCCACCGCACCCGGCCCCCTAAATTCTTAACAGTTAAAATTTTCACAGATTTATTGAATATTTGGAGAATTAAGAAAAACATTCGTATAGTACACCATTCATATCATTCTAAAAATATATTCACATAGTTCATCTCATTTTATTCTGTTTAAAAATCAGTGCTATTGATAGGAAAGATACTATTATCTATTTTGGAGACTGTCGTATATGCAGAAAGTGGCAGCTCTCTAAAAAGGTATAAAAAGTCTTCTATCTGGTAGGACATTTCCTCTCTGGATCTGCACTGTATATCCCTAAGGGCAAAAATAGTGTTCGAACTGTTTTCATGAATTTGCATCATTAAAGATAACTACCTAGTTTCTCATAATGTTTCCCTAAACAAAACATGTGGGTTCTTTCCAGTGTTTTGGTTTTATAAGCAATGCTTCGATATACATATTTCTTGCATAAATAGGGTGAATATTTTTGTGGAATAGATTCCCAGAAGTGGAAGTGTTGGGTTAAGGTATATGTGTATTTAAAGTTTTATTAGAAACAGTTCACAAAAAGAGATATTCAAATGGCAATAAACATATGAAAAAGTACTTGATATCGTTACTCATTTGGAAAATGCAAATAAAAGTCACAAGGAGATAGTACCCAGAATGGCTAACATTAAAAAGACTGGCAAAACTAAATATTGAGAAGGATATAGGATGTAGAGCAACTGGAACTCTCATACATTGCTTGTGAAAATGTAAATTGATAAAACACTTTGGCAAATTGTAAGTAATTATTGAAGCTAAAGATATTCCAGCTCCATGACTTAGCCATCCCAAGAGCAATGAACATCTCTGCCACCAAAAGACATGTGCAAAAATGCTCACAAGGAAAAAAAATAAAAGCAGAAAATATTGAAATGAAAACAAGTATTCAATAAAAAACAACAGAATCAAAAATTGTCTCTTTGAAAAGATTAATAAAATTGATAACTCTCAGGTGAAAATTAATAAGACAAAAAGTGAGAAGTTACAAAAAGTGAGAAGGAATGAAAATGGAGACATTAAAAAGACCATAAAAATATATTGTGAACAAATTTTTGTCAACAAATTTAAAAATTTAAATATAATAGACAAATTTCTAGGAAAATAAAATCTTGCCAAAAGTGACAGAAGAAAAAATACAAAATCAGAGAAATGTTATAACTTCTAAAGAAACTTAATGTATAATTAAACATTTTCCATATAGAAAACTTTAAGTGCAGCCAGCATTACCAATGAGTTTTTTAAAATACAGTCATGCATCACTTAATATTGAGGATAGATTCTGAGAAATGTATTGGGTGATTTTATCATGGTGTGAATGTCATAGAGTGTACTTACACAAACCTGGATGGTATAGCCTACTATACATGTAGGCTGTAGTCTACAAACCTGTATAGCAAGTTTCTGTAGTGACCTACTGTAGGCGATTGTCACACAATGGCAAGTATTTGTGTATGTAAACATATGTATACATAGAAAAGGGACAGTAAAATACGATATAATCTTATGAGGCCACCATCGTGTATGCTGACTGAAACGTTGTTATGCAGCACATGACTATATATAAAGGAAAAAGTAATGCATCTTACATGAGCTTTTCTAGAAAATAGAAAAATAGAGAGTGCTTCCTAGTTTTTTTGTGAGATCTACATAACCTTGATAATGAAATCTGACAGGAGCTTCAAAAAAAAAGGGGGGGAATCTCAGGTCAATCTTTTTTTCACATACCTAGATAACAAATCTTATATAAAATATTGGCACACCAAATCCAGGAATTTTCTAAAAAGAATAATAGAACAAAATCAACCTGGTTTATTTCTAGTAATGCAAATTTGGTCTTTCAGTGGAAAATTAATGGAATTCATCACATCAACAGACTCTAGAAAACTCATATCTCCTTAGACACAAAAATCATTTGATAACAATCAATATCCATTCATAATAAAAACTGTTAGAAAATCTGAAATAGAAAAGAACATCCCTAGTTCAGTAAAAAGTATTAACGAAGAGAAAAAACAAGCAAACAAAACCTGCTGAAAGCCATTCATCTGAGGTTATGAACAAATCAAGTATGCTCACTGTCATCACTTCAGCCTTATACTGGTGGTCCAAGCCAGTGTAATAATGTTATAAAAAATAGGAATGGAAAATGAAGAAATAAGTTACTATTTTAAGGATTTCAAAGCAGCTTATTAAGTTACCTGAACTACAAAAAAGTAATTAAAATTAAATGTACATAAAAAACAAGATAGCAGAGTTAGAGTAGAGACATAAAATAGAATCAGGGATGAGACTGTAAAAGATAGGTACCACAACATCTTACAGGTGTCCAATCAGTGGGACACAAATCTGATTCTAACCTTTCTAATAGCTATCAGCAAAATGAATTCCAATCAATTTTACAAATCATATGAGATTAAAATGTTCCAGTTGCCTAAGAGAAATATAACCCTTTCTAATGCCAAGGTCAGGTAAGATTATTTCTTGATAGAAAATATAGACAAAATGTGCACTGGGCTTGTGAGAACATAATTATTTTCTATCATCTGGGCTTAAATTTTTATCTATAATTTTATATTTTGAATGGAAAATTTTCATGTTTATACCCTAATTTGTTTCCATTTAGAGTCAGTGGTGGTGTTGACTATCTTGCATATTCTGGAAAAAAAGCTTACAACCAGGTTAGAAATATTTTTCTCATAATAAATTATAGATTTCTACCTGAAGAGCCTGTGAAATATGATGACCCTTTATACAGCCTAGAAGAGCTAAATGAACTGGCCCCTCAAGGATTTGAGTCTCTTCTAGATGTTAAAGGGGTAAACAAAAAAAATCCATTTGCTTCTAAATGGATTGCCTGGACAAATAACTAATCATTCCTACTAAAAATTTTGGTACACTTATGCAAAATATTTACCTAAATTATAAAATGTGACAACAAAAATTAAAGCTTAGTGATAAAGAATACTTATCTCTTTTATAAAGATGTGATATAAATAAATTTTAAACATGATTGATCAACTAGAGACTAATGAGTTATATTCTAAGTGTGATGCTTTTTCAGGCTGATGCCAATTTAATGGGGCTTGATGACTCCTGTTGAAATCTGATTTTTTTCCCTTCAAACTCTGTTAGTATGTTTTAAATACCCGAGCAAAGGAAAATGCTAGAAATGTCTGAGAATGTGTGAGTGCCCAATCCCAGGATCCTATGGAATTAGGAAAAGTATATTTCAATGAAGGAAGTTTTCAAAAAAGTGTCAAGAGTGAGCTCTTATAAAACAGAGTAACAGTGGTAGTCACAAAATAGCCTTTGGAATTTGATGATCCTGATTTTGAGTTCCCTTTTGATCACTTCTAAAAATGTGATTTTGAGTAAGTTATTTACTGTGTATGTCTCGGTTTCTTTATCTAAAATGAGTACATTCATAACATCTTTTTTCATAATATTATTATACAAATTTAGCCAGATATTCATGTAAATTGTCTGGCTCATGTTAAAAAATGATAGCTATTATTATCGGCTGTTACGCAGGTGCCAAAACTTGTAGCAGAAATTGCTATTATTTGACAACACCAAAAAGAAAAGGGTCTGGCCATTATTTTAATGCTTTACCAGGATTTGTATTCCTTGGAATGACTGACACATACATATTTGTTGAGTAAACAAATAAATTAATGTCTGGATATAATCAGTTTTTAAACCGTTTGTTCATTCGGTCACTCATTTATTCAGCAAATAATCATTGAGTACCTCCTATGTGCCAGATGAACTTACATGGAAGTGGAAGAGACAGATATTAATTAAATAAACTCAAATGCAAATTTAAAACTCTAACTGATAAGTTTCTGCAAAGTGCATCATGAGGACATTTTAATCAGTTGAGTCGGCATGCATATGTCGCATGCCTTTTGTAGATTTTGAGCCAGTTGACAGATGGGAAGTTGAGTCCAAGAGTTCAAAGCAGAATGTGAAACAATGCTTGTAAAGGGTTTGGCTCATCTGGAGGGGTTTATTTTGCATGAACACATCTTTCTTGTAAAGCTAAGCTACAAGAGCCTCTCTACCAAGGCGAATCTTTTCACTTATAACTTAGATCTGCTCTCTAGCCTTCACTTCTGACAATAACATGAGAGAACTAAGCACCTTTATGGGTGAAGTAAAACTTCAAGTTAAATTCCATCAGAGAGAATGATATGATGTGAGTATTTGTTCCATTCCCAGGGACAGAGAGGGTTCTGCAGTGGGAAACTTGTTTCAGCACTGAAACCTTCCACAGCTCAAAGTAAAAATGAATGCTATTCCAGTTGTTTTAACATACTTTCACTTTGCTTATGTCAGGCAAATTCATTTTCTCCAGGGAAAGCTCATGTTTTAGTGCTTGAGTTAAAATCTTTCAAGATAATTAAGAGGCAAATTATCCTGTATCATGTATCATCATCACAGATAGTTAATGAATATCCACTGGTTGTGTTTAAATGTGCTGGGCACAGTCATGAATTTTTAATTTCTGGAGAGATGTGAGAACAACTGGCTTAATAAATTCAGTATTATTGTCTATATGTTTCATTATTTTCATTATTTTAGAATGACACCAAAAGCCTGTTGGACCAAGAATGAATGGTGTTCCTTGACCAGGTGTTCTAGGAAATAATTTAAACAGATGTAATTATAGTAAACTACAAACAAACCTTCCAATAACTATGTGAATTGTTCCAACTAAGCTGAAATGGTAATAAAATACCCTATTTTGAGCTTTCACTATGTGCCAGGACCTATTCTAATTGCTTGACATATATTACTTTATTTGATCATCAGAATAATTCTATGAAATAGGTACTGTAATCACCCTTGTTTTATGGGTGAGACTAAGTCACAGAATAGTTAAGAAACTTGCCAAGTCATTAACTGTGAATGGTGAAGCTAAATTTTAAACCTCAACAATCTGGTTTCAGAAACTGTGCTCTTAACCAGTATGATGTACTAGTAATAGTAGTAGTGATAGTAGTAGTAGTAGCAGCGGCAGCAGCAGCAGCAGCAATACGGGAATGAGTAAAAGGAAGGAGAGAGGAAGAGGAGAGGAAAGGAGAAGCAGGAAGAGAAGGAGAATAATTCGGAAGAGATTAGAAGTAGGATTAGTAGTAGAGTGATAGCAGCAGCTTAATACTGAGGAGCAGCAGAGCTGGTGGTGAACAGTGGAAACTCTGGAACCAGATAGCCTTGGTCCAAATCCTAACTATAATCCTAATAAGAAGTGAGATTTTGGGCAAGTCACATAACCTCTTTGTACCTCAGCTTTCTTATCAGTAAAATAGGGATTGGGAAGGATGAAATGCTATAACACATGTGAATACTTAAACTGAACCCTGGCAGATAGTAAGTGTTCAATATATGTTAGCTGTCAATATTGATATTATTGCTATCTGTTCTGTACCCTTAAAATGAATAGCACAGACATGAATGAGAAATCCTTTTCTTTTTACTTCACTCATCTTTAACATCCCCATCACATAATCCTTGCTTAGCTTAGTGTCTTTCTTTTTCTCTGCATCCTAGGATGCATTTTTCAGGAAAATCTTTTTTGCTGGCTCCTGGAGATATATCTTACCTGTTTATACATATTATAAACTTCTCCAGAGCAGAGGCAGCAACACCTTAGAAATATTGAGCTCAGTAGGTGATGAGACAATCCAGGTGACCAGAATAAGGAAACTAAGGCATGCACCTGGGGCTGTGGCCAAGCCCATCCTGGAGGTCTGTGGGGGGTGTCTTCTCAGATAGAGCAGGCTGGCCATCCACATGGGCACTTACGAGAGTCAGGGGCAAGGCCCAAGCAAAGAGAGCAGCTTTAGCGCTGGGCCTTTATCCTTGAGAAGGAAGAGTGTGGGTGGGGAAGGAACATCTTGGTGACAGCAGTAATACGCTTGTTGAGACTGGCTTTCCTTGTTTATGAAAATACAAATTAAAACTTCTAGCTGGGCTCTGGGGCTCATGCTTATAATCCCAGCACTGTGGGAGGCTGGGTGGGAGGATCACTTGAGCCCAGGAGTTTGAGACCAGCCTGGGTAACACAGGGAGACCCCATCTCTACAAAAAATGGAAAAAACAAATTAGTCGGACATGTTAGCGCTCATCTGTGGTCCCAGCTCCTCAGGAGGCTGAGGCGGAGGATTGCTTCAGCCAGGAGGTTGAGACTGCAGTGAGCTATGATTGTACCACTGCACTCCAGCCTGAGTGACAGGGGCAAGATTTTGTTTCAAACAAACAAACAAACAAACAAACAATCAATCAAACAAAAAACTTCAGTTCCTCAGTCACACTAGCCACATTTAAAGTGCACAGTAACCATGTGGCTCTCATTTATGGCACTAGACAGCACAAAATAGAACGTTTCCATCATCACCGAAAGTTCTACTGGTCTAGACAGTACTTGGTACACAGTGGTTGTTCAATAAATACTAGCTGAGTGAAATACTTGAAAGAACAAAGAATACTTGCCTTGCATACTTCATAGCATTTTTTTTGAGAATCAAAAGCTCTTTTCAAATGGTGAATGGCCTGAACATGTTGAAGAGCTTTTATTTCCCTTATGGCTTCCAAAGAGTTACATGGGGGACCTTGTGTTCTATGGATGCACAGTGAATTTTTAATGCTGGTCATATGCTGAGGATGGTGTTTCCTCGTGGCTTCTGTTCTTGCAGATACACAGACCTTCCCTTTTGATTGCAGGAAACAGGGGGAACTTAACATAACTTATGACCCCGTTTGTTTCTCCTCCTTTTCCCAAGAAGCCCGCTCTGATTTTTTGATTCTCCATTCCCAAACCCCACTGGGACTCCTCCTAAGGCATTTTGTGAAGTGAGTCTGTATTAAGAGAACAATGTGAATTGTGTGTGTGTGTGTGTGTGTGTGTGTGTGTGTGTGTGTGTGTGTTGGAGAACAGAGCTGGTAGTCAAGGGATTTGTAATCCACTGGCAATGGTTTCCCGAGCAACCTGTGTAGATGACAAAACGCTGCTTTCAATAATAGAAGTGAAAGTGACCTTACCTTTTCTTTGGCATTGGCCTCTAATTTGTTTCTTTAGTTTTTGATTTTTAAACATTACTGATAATTGGTTCATTTATTATCGTCATAACTGTTACATTATTTGAATTAGTGTCTTGCATTTGAATCCTTCCTCTCAATTTACCAAAGATGTTTATATATGTCATCTTACATCTTTTACAACAATCTTGGAAGGCTGATAGGGCAGAGATAATTATCCCGACTATGTGTACAAGCTTCCAATCAGAGCATTTGTGTAGGTGGCTCACATCAGACTGCATAGCTTGTGAAGTGCAAAATAGGGCTAGAACCCAGGATTTGTATTATTCCTTTTCACTCTGCTGAGATCTATCAAATTTACTTTGAAGGGGGATGCAATCATTGATAGGTAGTAACAGATGTAGACATTAATATGAGCCTTCTTCAGCTTTTTCTACACCTCCAACTGGGCTGTGGTTTTGCCTTTTAAAATTTTTGCTTGATTTAGAGGCAGTGAACAACGGTAAAAAAGGATGGGCCGGACGCAGTGTCTCACGCCTGTAATCCCAGCACTTTGGGAGGCTGAGGCGGGCAGATCATCTGAGGTCGGGAGTTTGAGACTAGCCTGAGCAACATGGAGAAACCCCATCTCTACTAAAAATACAAAATTAGTCGGGCGTGGTGGCACATGCCTGTAATCCCAGCTACTCACGAAGGCTGAGACAGGAGAATAGCTTGAAACCAGGAGGCGGAGGTTGCGGTGAGCCAAGATCGCGCCATTGCACTCTAGCCTGGGCAACAAGAGTGAAACTCGGTCTCAAAAAAAAAAAAAAAAAAAGGATGGAATTTGAATTTACATAGTGTTTTGTCTCTTGTCCACTACTGACAACTTGAGGATATTTGAGCAAGTTACTTACATTTTCTGAACTTTAGTTTACTCTTTAAAAAAAAGAGCTAAAAAGCAAACAAGCAAATCAGGAATACTACCTACCTTACCAATGTATATTGTGACAATCAATTATATTTTGAAATCTAGCTAACTATAAAACAGTAATTGTTTTACCCTCTTAGAGCTAAACAGTGAATGACATATTTCAGGGAGTATTTAGGCAATCACATGCTCTGGAAAGATCTTACAGAGTGAACATTTAGAGTGAGTAAAATTCCACTAAAATTAATAAGTATTTATTAAACATCTACCATGTGCCTGAAAATGGGTTATGCAAGGCTCCTTCGAACACAGCCCCTGTACCCCTGTTCTTCGATGTTTTGAGTACAGTCTATCAATTAGTGATAAAATACACCTTATTGAGAACCCAAGAATCTGGCAGCATGTCAAGAATTATATAAAGAAGGATAAGTTGTCAAGAATTATATAAAGAAAGATAAGTTTTTTCTAGAGAAGGAAATAAGGTATTTGCCATTATTATTCCCATTTTATAAAATGCTATTACCATATTAAATGAACTATTCTAAAGTTCACAAAAATAGTAAGTGGAGGAACGTGGATTCTCATCCAGGTCCCCATTTGACTCTAAGGTCCTTTCTCCTGCTTGAGAGAAAATTTGATAAGATCCCGAAACAACAACCACCACCATGAAATACCATCACCACAATCAACACTTTATTCAGCTTCACTTAGTGCTAGATACTGTGCTTAACATTTTATGAGCTTTCTTTCCTTTCATCCTCACAGTAACGTTGAGAAGTAGGTACTCTCATCAATCCCTTTCTTCCAGTGGGGCACTAGAATTAGCTCAGGAATGGAAGAGCCAGGATTCAAACTCAAGTCCATCTCCAAATGCTGTCTACCACTTGCAGGCAGAAAAACTGCCCTGGTCTTCCCACCACTGTCTGTATGTGGAGAAACAGCTCCCTCACATTCTAGTTCACTAAGACTTTGTGTGAATAATGACTTTTCTCATTTACATTTGAGTCTTATTACTTTAGATAACCGATAAAAGCTATTTGTAGCAACTACCCAGGAGATTTAAATGATGCAGCTGATGAAAGCATTCAAAACAAAGCCAGTATTTTTATACATGATAAAAATCCATATCACCAGCAAATGAAGCAATGCTTATTTCCAAACCATGCTTCAATTATGTATATATGTTCTTTATTTATAGAAATGAGAATTTTCAATGATTTATAGCACAGGACAGATTCTACTAAGAAATGTTATCTGCATTTTTTTCTGTTAAAAATAAACTATTTGGTAATCATTCCAACCATAATGAAAGAGAGAATAGGCTGAACTTGGCCAGATACTATACAAATAATTTGACTCATGTGTTTAAAGATCAACAATGGTTTCTCATATCCTAGCAGACCAAACCAAAAACCCTCACCCAGGCGTCTCTGAATTAGTCCAAACATAGTCATACTTTTCTCTGTCACGAACCCCATTTATCCTTCTCAGTATTAAGAGGCTCATACCATGCCCAAGTTGAATTTGTCTGTATTCCTTTGTTTGGTGTGCTTGTCCTTATTCCTCAAAAACTCTGTATTCCCTGTTCTTCAAAAGCTGTTCAAAATGATGCTACTCTATAATGCCTTGTCCAAGAGCTTCAGACCCTACTGACTTCTTCTTTCTCTGGACAACTGTGCCATTTACATTCAAGTACAATTATTTTGGCACTAGATAGACATGGGTTTGAATCCCCATTCTGCTACTTACTAGCAGACATATTTGCAGACATATTTGTCTGCAAAATAGGAATGATCCCACTGATCTTGTGGTGTTTATCAAGGCTTAAATAAGAAAATATAGTTAAATGCAATGTAAAGTGCTAATGTTATGGTGAATTGATTTTAAAATGAAGGTAGTATTTTGCAGACTTGTTTGTGGAGTGTATGACATTATGACATGGACTGTGTCTGCTCAGTTAACATCTGAATGGCTCTGAATCTAGCGTTAGTTCAAATTACCTGTTTCAACCATAGGACCAGATGCGTGCAGAGATTCTAAAGCTATGTGATCCATATGGAAGTCACTAGCCATATGTGCATAGTAATTTAAATTTCTATAAGTTAAAAATTAAAATAAATATTCAGTTCCTCAGTTACACTAGCCACATTTCAAGTGATCAGTAGCTACACTGGCTGGTGTGTATCATATAGGACAGTGCAAATATAGAACACTTACATCATTGCAAGACGTTCTATAGGACAGTTGTGCCTTAGAGAATAATTTCTTACCTTAGCAGTCTCAAAGCTTGCTTTTCATAACATGGACAATGGCTTCGCCTTTTTAACATGAAGTAAAATATGTAGATGATATAATCTAACTGTGCATATAATTTTAAAAGACAAGATAATATTCTATTACAGTGTGAGGGAGAAAAAAATGAAAACCAAATTTTACTGAAATAATATGAATTTTAATAGTAAATACAGGGGCACAACTTCATTAGAATACAGAATGAAGGCCAGGCACAGTGGCTCATGCCTGTAATCCCAGCACTTTGGGAGGCTGAGGAGGGTGGATCACCTGAGATCAGGAGTTGGCGACCAGCCTGATCAACATGGTGTAACCCTGTGTCTACTAAAAATACAAAAATTAGCTTGGTGTGGTGGCAGGTGCCTATAATCTCAGCTACTTGGGAGTCAGAGGAAGGAGAATCGCTTGAACCCGGGAGGCAGAGGTTGCAGTTAGCTGAGATTATGCCATTGCACTACAGCCTGGGCAACAAGAATGAAACTTCATCTCAAAAAATAAAAATAATAATAAAAAAAGCAAAAACAGAATACGGAATGAATACTCAGATACCTGCACCTTCATGGGAAATCACCGTGACTATAACAGCTGAAAATATAGATTAATCTAGTTCTGCTGTATTGGCAGCTCAGTTGTTTTGCCATCAGTAGCACGATCATATGAAATGGTAATAAACCAAAATTTCAAACCAATGAAGAATAATCTTAAAATACTTTTTTTATTTTATAAAATTGAGTTATACTCTAGGCTTTAAAAATTGTGAACAGATTTTTTCATCTACCTGTGTCTGGCAGGATATTTGAAGCCTTGAAGAATACAGGGTTATTCTTTGTGTAAATTGTCCCCTGAATTGCAGGAAAACTGGCAAAATTCTTTTTTTCTAGTTATTTTGGAATACATATTACAATATTTTTAACCATAGTCATCCTCCTAAGCAATGGAACAATGGAACATCAGAACTTACTCCTCCTATCTGCAATTTTGTACCTTTTGACCAGTCTCTCCCCAACTCTCCCTCTCCACTACCCACCCCAGCTTCTAGTAATCACTACCGTACTCTGTACTTCCAGAAGATCAGCTTTTTAAAATTCTGCAAATGAGTGAGATCATGCAGTATTTTTCTTTCTGTGCGTGGCTTATTTCACTTAACATAATGTCCTCCAGGTTCATTATGTTGTTGCAAATGATAGAATTTCATTCTTTTTATGGCTGAATCATAATCCATTGTATATATATGTATACATATATACACATATATATATATATATCACATTTTCCTTATCCATTCATCCACTGATGGACGCTTAGGTTGAGTCGATATCTAGACTATTGTGAATAGTGCTGCAAAAAACTTGGGAGTACAGATACCTCTTTGACATCCTGATTTTCTTTCCTTTGGATACATATGCCCAGTGGTGGGATTGCTGGATCATATGGCAGCTGTATTTTTAATTTTTTGAAGAGCCTCAATACTGTTTTCCATAGTGGCTGTACTAATATCTTATTGTGGTTTTGATTTACATTTCTCTAATGATTAGTGATGTTGAGTATTTTTTTCATATGCCTATTGGCGATTCGTGTGTCTTCTTTTGAGGAATGTCTGTTCAGATCTTTTGCCCATTTTAAATTGGATTATTTATTTATTTTTTGCTATTGAGTTGTTTGAGTTCCTTATATATTTCGGATATTAACTACTTGTCAAATGCATAGTTTGCAAAAATTTTCTCCCATTCTGCATGTTGTCTCTTCACTCTTTTGATTCTTTCCTTTTTAATAATAATAATCTCATTTGTCTATTTCCCTCTGATTCTGACCCTTTTGCCTCCCTTATAAAGACTCTGGGATTACATTGGGTGCATCCAGATAATCCACAATAATCTCCCCATTTAAAAATTCTTACTTGAATAACATCTGCAAAATCCCTTTTGCTGTATAATGTACCATATTTACAAGGGTTTAAGCAGTTAGGATGTGAACACCTTTGGGGAGCCACTAGTTTGTCTATCACACAGAGGAATAATTTAAAGATAATGCAGCTATTTCTTCTATATTTCTTTTGGCTTTGGTCATATGTTTCTTTGAATTTTATATGTGAAATCATTATTTAGCTTTTGTAATTGATGTGAAATATTTCATTTTTAATTTTAAATGAATAGTATTCACTTTATTTGAAAGACAAAACTAAAAAATACATAGTTACACAGTGAAAAATATCCTTTCTATTCAATTTCTATCTGCCTTACCCCCACTTAATAATGGTAGTTTCTAGTCTATCCTTCCAGTTTCTTTAACCATAAACACACACATATAAATACATTCCTCATTGTTTTTTTTTTAACTCAAAACGTCTCTCTCTCCCTCCCTTTCTTCCTCTCTCTACATATATATGTTCTTCTGCAACTTATTTTTTCATTTAATATTGCATATTTTTTATAGCTACATAGTATTCCAATGTGTAGATGCACCACAATTTATTCAACCAGTTCCACGTTGATGAATATTTATGCTATTTTCAATATTTTGTTATTACAAATAGTATTGCAATGTCTATCTGTGTATGTGTCATTTTACATATATGCAGATATATCTGTAGGATAAATTTCTGGAAGTGGAGATGACCAGTCAATAGGTAAACGCATTTACAATTTTGATACTGTATTTCATTAAATCTAAGCTGACATTTATTTCCAGAAGCATAATTATTTTATGTTCCATTAATAAACAAACTGTCAATTATAACTGCACAATGTTATTGATTGTAAGATGCATCTTGATTTCACATGGTAAACAGTGAAAAGTGTCTGACAAAGTCCTTTTTAAAAAGATAAGGTGCAATAGTTATTGCTAAATTGCTCTCCATGGGGCTTCTGTTGATTTGTATTCTCATTTGTACTGTCTGGGAGTTTCTGCTTCCCCGCAGTATTGACAATAGGATGTGTATATCAAACTTGGATTTTCCTACCAATCTTATATGTGAGAAATGGTGTTTTTAAATGCTTTTAATTTTCATTTCACTTAGTATGGATGAGGTTGAGCATTTAAAAATATCTGAGGACCATTTATATATTATTAACTGTAAATTGTCTATTCATATTCCTTGCCTGTTATTCTGTTGAATTGTTGGTCATTTGCTAATTAAGTCCCAGGAGCATTTATATTTTATCTCTTTAAGATCTCTGATATGAGTTACAAATATTTTCCTGTGATTTTCTTAATGGTGATTTTTTTAGACATGCAGAGCACTTTTTAAGAGCCAAACTTTTGTATTTTTTTCTTTTATGAGTTACAGTTAGAAATGCCTTCCCCACTGCAAGTCATAAAGGACTTCCTATTTTTTCTTTAACTACTTTAATGGGTTTTTTTTACACAATAAATAATTGATACATCCGAAATTTATCCTGGTGGACATGACGTGATATAAAACCAGCTTTTTTTTCTGAGAAATGATATCTATTTGCTATGATATTGTTTTTGAAGTTCAAATTTTCTCTACTGAATTAAGATTTTTTAAGAGTGCTGTATATATTTATGCTAATTCTGCAGTTTTATTCTGCTGCATTGGATTATCTACTGAGTCATGTGCCAGTAGCACACTGTTTAATTATTGAAGCCTATACTTGTTTTAATATCTGGAACAGCAAGTCCTCCCTAATTGCTCTGCTTTTTCAAAGTTTTCCTGGCATACTCATTTGTTTATTTTTTCATTTGAACTTTGGAATCAATTTGTCTGATTAAAAAAATGTTCAGCATATTAATTTGAAGGGTGTTAAACATTTAAAGTGATTTAGGGATAATAAACATATTGATGGGTCTTCCTGCCACAGAGCTTGGTATGTATATTTTTTTCTTTAATGGTATGTATTTGTGTAATATTTGTCTAAATCTACTTGTCCTTCAGTAGTGTTTTATTAATTTACATTTTAATGATATAATTGAAGATTCACATTCAGTGTAAGAAATAATACAGAGAAGCCAGGCAAGGTGGCTCACGCCTGTAATCCCAGCACTTTGGGAGGCCAAGACGGCGGATCACCTGAAGTCAGGAGTTTGAGACCAGCCTGACCAATATGGTGAAACCCCATCTCTACTAAAAAAAAAATATATATATATATATATATATACACACACACACACACACACACATACACATATGTGTGTATATATATATATACACACATACACATATGTATATATATACACACGTGTATATATATGTGTGTGTATATGTATATATGTATATATGTGTGTGTGTATATATATGTGTGTGTATATATATATGTGTGTGTGTGTATATATATATATAAAATTAGCCAGGCTGGTGGCCAGCGCCTGTAATCCCAGCTACTCAGGAGGCTGAGGCAGGGAGAATCACTTGAACCCGGGCGGTGGAGGTTGCAGTGAGCCGAGATCCATTGCATTCTAGCCTGGGCAGCAGAGTGAGGAGACACCATCTTAAATAACAACAACGGCAAAAATACAGAGAGATAGATGTAAATGTTGTGTAGTTTCCCCCAATGCTAACATTTTGTAAATCTGTAACATTTCTATAGTATACCTGCACAACCAGGATATTCACATTGATATAATCTGCTTATTTTATTCAGATTTATCCAAATTTACTTGCACTCGTGTGTGTGTAATTACATATGGTTTTATCGTATGTGTAGGTTTGTGTATCCATTACTACATCACTACAGTTAAGATAATAGCAGTCATGTTTTAAAGTAGTTTTCATATAAATTTCACACGTTTCTTAAGTTTGCTCCTAAGCATTTCATCTTTGTTCTTATTATAAAGGACTTTTTTCTCTACTACATTCTAACTGGTTATTAGTGGTAACAAGTGTATTAATACTTTTTATGTTTTAAGCTCGTATCCACCATATTTTTTGATTCTCAAATTGTTTCTAGTGTTTTTAAAAATTGATTGTTTTGAGTATTTCGTCATATCATCCATAAATAGTGTTAGTTTTACCTTTTCTTTTCCAACACTTTAAAGGCTTTGTCTCATCTAATTGATGTGGTTGGCATATTTACAAAAAATATTAACATTGGAAATATTGGGTATCCTGATGTTTTTCACATTAGAGATGTTTTTCTCTATTAAGCATGATGTTGGCATTTGGACTAAAGTAGATATGTTTAATTATGTTGTGGAAATATCCACATATGCATAGTTCATTGAGTATTTCCACTAAGAATGATTGTTGAATTTTTCCAAATGCTTTTTAGCATTTTTGGAGATGATTATACAATTTTTATTAGATATACTAGTATAATTATTTAATATAATAAATTTTCTAATATTGAGCCATCTTTGCAACCCTGAATAAACCCCACATGGGTCAAGATACATCATTCTTTTAATGTGTTGCTGGGTTTCATTTGTTAGTATTTTATTTAAAAATTTCATAGCAATATGCTAGTCAGGTTGGACTGTAGTTTTTTGTCTACAATTTCTGGGTTTCAGCATTATTCTCACTCTTTTTCCATCTGAGTGGTCCTCCAGGACTGGTCTTTTGCCTTCATCTACAGGGCCCAAAGTGACTCCCTAGCACATCCTCACTCCAGCTAGCATGAAGGGGAAAAGAAGTAGTGGAAGAAATCAGCCCCTATTGTTAAGGAGAAGTCCCAATTTCATAATTGTACTTACATCTTAGTGTTCAGAAGTTACACCAAGATGCAGTGGAAGCTGATAATTGTTGTCATTATCATACACCTCTAACATGAAGTCTCTGATACACAGATTTATTAACGTGATTCTGTCCATTAGTCTGTCCTCCAGCTTTCCTTTGATTTCTTCTTATGTTTCAGTAGTGTTTTAAAGTCAACTTCATAAATATCTCACACATTTCTTGTTAATTGTCATTTATTCCTGTGCACCTTTTGTGGTGAGTTTTTTATTTCTCGGCAAAGTTTTGCGGCACTTTCCACTTTTTTTGTCTTTTATCAATGTCGTGCTAGTTTCCTCTTACTATTCATCGTTATGGGTAGTTCTTAAAAAAACAGTGAAGCCCTAACCCGCAGTAGTTCAGCAAGCTATGTTCTTTGAAAACAGGTTATTTATAAAGTAATCAAGTTAAATTGAGGTTATTAGGATGGATGCTGATCCAATATGACTGATGTCTTTACTAAAAGGGGGAATTTATCCCATTACTAAGTAAATATCCAGAGGAATATAAGTCATTCTACCATAAAGACACAAGAATGTGAGTGTTCACTGCAGCACTATTCACAATAGCAAAGACATGAAATCAACCTAAAAACCCATCAGTGACAGAATGGATACAGAAAATGTGGTACATATACACCATGAAATATTATGCAACCAGAAAGACAATGAGATCATGTATTTTGCAGGAACATGGATGGAGCTGGAAGCCATTATCCTTAGCAAACTAATGCAGAAACAGAAAACCAATATCACTTGTTTCCACTTGTAAGTGGGAGCTAAATGGTGAGAACTCATGTACAGAAAGAAGGGAACAAGAGACACTAGGGCCTACTTGACAGTGAAGGGTGGGAGGAGGGAGAGGAGCAGAAAAAGTAGCTATTGGGTACTAGGATGAGTACCTGGGTGATGAAATAGTCAGTAAAACAAGACCTGTGCCATTAGTTTACCTATATAACAAAGCCTGCACATGTCACATGTACCCCGAACCTAAAATAAAAGTTAAAAAATGGAGAAATTTGGGCACAGAGACAAAAATGCATAGGGAAGATGATGGGATGATTCGCAGGGGAAATGCCATCTAAAGATTGAGAATTGGAAGTATGCTGCCATAAACCAAAGCATGCTGGGGCCACCAGAAAGTAAGAAAGGTAAGAAAGGATTCCTTCATAGGTTTCAGAGGGAACACAGCCCTGCCAACATCTTGATCTGAGACTTCCAGGCTCCAGAACTGTGAGACAATTAATTTTTGTTATTTTAAGCCACACGAATACTTAAGGTATTCGTTATGGCAGTGGTAGGAAACTTATTTATCTATCAATTATTGAGTTGGATTTTTCTGGATCAGCAATTTTCAGGGATTTATTTTTGTGTGTTTGGGGAGGGTTAATGGGGAACCAGGGCTGTATTCCAGCTTCACACCCTAACGACTCTCTTCTGTGCTGCTCCTTTAGGCACAAATTGCTTCCTGCAAATATGGTTCAGCTGTGTGGATCTCTGTGCAGCCCTATCGTTTCAGGTTGTCTTTACCAAATAAATCCAGGAAGACTTAGTCCACCAGCTCTTCTTGCCTCTTGCACCCATTTTTGTAAGCTTTGTACTTGCCATGTAAACCATGGTAATGAAAGTTCATTATTTTTAACCTCAGGATCTCTCTCTACTCTGTTTGCTTTTTGTTTTTTTAAACCTCTTCCCTTATTCCTTCTGTCCTTTCTCAGTTACTTTCGTAGCCCTATGCTTATTTTGAAGTGTTTAGATTATATATGTTATTGCAAATGGAGTATGCAGGGTTTTTGTTATTGTTGTTCTCTTTGTTGCTTTTCTGTCATTTACAGAAAAGCAAGATGCAGATTTCCACAGTCATGTTCTTGAGTGAAGACTCATGAAGAACTTTAAAAAACTTTGCAATGGTTAGGCCAGGCGTGGTGGCTTACGCCTGTAATCCCAGCACTTTGGGAGGCCGAGGCGGGCGGATCATGAGGTCAGGAGATCGAGACCATCCTGGCTAACACTGTGAAACCCCGCCTCTACTGAAAATACAAAAAATTAGCCGGGCGTGGTGGTGGGCGCCTGTAGTGCCAGCTACTCGGGAGGCTGAGGCAGGAGAATGGTGTGAACCCGGGAGGCAGAGCTTGCAGTGAGCCGAGGTCGCGCCACTTCACTCCAGCCTGGGCAACGGAGAGAGACTCCGTCCCAAAAAAAAGACCCAAAGCAAAAAAACCTCTGTAATGGTTAGAACAGAATTAGAGAATGCATAAGACTACGTGGTGACTTTGTATTTTTCTTTTAGCAGATATCTGATTGGAATAGTGGGAAATAATGGTGAGTTAACATACCAGGCCACTTAAAGAGAGCCACTTTGTCAATTTGTGTAGTTACAGAAACATCCCAATCCTGTTTCTCCTGAACACCACCCTACAGTGTCAGCACAGAACAAACCTCTCACAGATATGTCACTTTGGAAGGAGATTTTTAAATGCTGTCAAAAAAGGCTTGAGTCTTGTGAATAAATGGGCTTTCTGTAATTTTTTTGTTGAAAAGTTCAGCAGAATAAGTGCTTCTGATACTTTTTGACCTGGCATCAATGAAATCTTTTAGCAATCACTCCTTCAACGAATATTATATTTCTTGAGTGGGTTTAATGTGCTCAGCTCGTGTCTGAAGTGGGAGTTAAACAATAAGCAAAACAGACATTTCTATTCCCTTTGAAATCACAGTTTAATTTTGTTTGACAGGTTCTTACAGAAAAAGTCCCTGATAGGTTTGTTTTCAAAAGCAGAGCTAATACTTTTATTTCATGTTTCTTTTTATTAACTCCAGCAATAAAATGGTGAAGTCACTTTGTTACTTAGTCTCTGGAAGAATTAAATATGTTCCTATCTAATAGTTTTAAAAAATCCTGATAGCACTGTTATATTAAAGCTTTAGTTTTTTTCCCCTCTGAAAAATGAAGTCCCCACAGGATCCGGAACCAGGATTTAGAACTAGACAGACACAGTTTCAAATCCTGATCTCATCACTGGGAAGTTATCTGGCCTCTCTTGAGCTTTGATTCTCTTGGCTGTAAAATAAAAAAAATAATAAAACCAACCTTTCTAGCTTGGTAGGAAAATTCAGCATGCAAAACCATGTAAAACTCCTAGCATGGCACATAGGAAGAGGTCAGTAAATAGTGTCTATTTCAGATTTTATAATTGTCGTAGTTATTTATGACACTGTACCTTAAGTTAATCATATATTGTATACTCCAGGAATGGCCCCTAAGTGGCCTCCCTTCTACAGTCCTCTATTTTTATAGAGACTTTTTGAAATCATTATCTCTAACCCATACCCTTGTTTATTGCATTCTTCAGTTTTGTTCTTGTTGCTGTTAATGAAGATTTTTTAAATTTAATTTTGTGCTCTTGATTTTCTCTATTTAGTTAGCCTTTGGCCAATCGGTGATACTTAGGATGACTTCCTAGATGAGTAGACCTTGTAGCATAATTCTTTTTCTTTTCTTTTCTTTTTTTTTTTTTGAGACGGAGTTCACTCTGTCACACAGGCTGGAGTGCAGTGGCATGATCTCAGCTTACTGCAGCCTCTCCCTCCCGGTTCAAGTGATTGTCCTGCCTCAGCCTTCTGAGTAGCTGGGACTACAGGTGTGTGCCACCGTGGCTGTCTAATTTTTTTTTTTTTTTGTATTTTTGTAGAGACAGGGTTTTGCCCTGTTGGCCAGGCTGGTCTCAAACTCCTGACCTTGAGTGATCCTCCTGCCTCGGCCTCCCAAAGTGCTAGGATTACAGGCATGAGTCACTGAGCCCGGCTGGATAATTCCTTTTCAATATGTCCTCCTTGCAGGCAGAAGATCTTGCCAGAAGACTGAGAACCCAGGCTTCCAAGATGGCCACAGCTGCACCAAAGATCACAAGGTAATTGGTGGTTGCTTTCGCATCAAAAGCTATGCTGTGGTAATACATGTGAGGTATTTTGAATAGTAGGTTGCATAAGATGATTTTTCACATTTTCCTGTAAGGACTAAAGAGTACAGAAGCAATTCCAAATGGTGTCTTAATTCCAGGAACAGTCCAAGAAGGTGACAGGAATATTAATGCCAACTATGGTCCTGTACTTAGAAATACTTTTGATAGTCAAAGGTAAAAGTAGATACAGTTTGTTATAATGTTATAATCATGGTGATGAAAGACATAGTGATGTCAAAGAAAATAAGAAATTTTGGGAGTCTTGTATTGTGACCTAGTTCTGCTCTGTAAGTAAATAGATGAACTTGAGGGAACTCATTACATTTTTCTACATCTGTTTAATCAACAGAAATGTCAACTATAGTATAGTTAGAATCACAGACTGTCGAACCAGGCTGATGCAAATTGTTTTCCTATTTACCGGCTATTGAGCAAGTTAATTAACCTCTTTGTGTCTCAGTTTCCTTATTTGTAAACAGAGATAAGTAGTATCAACTTCAGAAAGTTATTATGAGGATTAAATGAGTTAATGAACGGAAAATGCTTGGAAGAGTGCTGAGTACATAGAAAGTGAGTGAGTGAATGAGTAAGTAACTACGATGACCCCCTCTTCAGGCTGCCATTTGGTAGAGGGCAAGGGAGTGGCTAGCCATCGAGTAAGACCATGCTTTGCACCCACCATCAGCAAGGCTCAAGATAGTGCCTGCGTCCTCAGAATAAGCCTTCCCTTCTGCAGGTATCTCATCTCCATCTGTGGGAACCAGGTATGAGGCTCTGAACAGTTCCTGCTCTGGCAAGACACCTCCACATCTTTCTCCCTCAAACATTCATAGCCTCTCTGCCATTTTATGCTTCTGGTACACCAGAAATAATATCACAATGCCCTGCATCACTGTTCATATATTTCTTGGTCTGTCCCATACTCTGGACTTGAATTCTTTAAGACACTAGACACTGTCTTTTCTGTCCCAATCTCCTCCTCCCCCATTTGCTGAAGCCCTAGAATTCTCTGTGAATCAGCAATAAAACCTTATCTTAAATTTCATTTGTCAACTTTCTCTTCTTCTTTTTGTTGTAACCAAAACCTGGCTCTATATAATACTATATTTCTACTGCCTTTTCTAATGTTGAGTGTTTTATTTCCCAGACCCCTCCTATCCTGGGATTTCTAGGCCCTTCTCCCTTTCTCCTCCATGGAAAACGCCCAGCTTGAATCTCATGTTCTCAGACTGTACTCTTTATCCATCATCTCACCTAACGTAATTAGTTTAATACCTCCCAGATTGCTAACTTTCATTCCCTGAACATTTTACCTCTTGGGTCACTCATTCCATCCAACTTCATTCTCATCATAATTCTGGAGAATTTCGACGTTCATTTGGGTAATTTTTAGTGATTTGTTGTGATAAATTGCTTGACCTCCTCTAACTCCTCTTTAGCCACTCAATCCCATGTTCTATCCTTGATCTTATCATACTCCTTACTGCAAACTCTCAATTGCAGACATTCTACTTTGCAACCACCACCTCTTGTTTCCCTGATTTCAAAAATAATTTGGTCTGACACGACCAATAATCCACTCACTGTAACCACTATAATGTTCTATTTTACAATCTTACTCTGCTTAAATTCCATGACTGTCATTATAACTTTGTTGCATAGATTCTAAACTTTATTAAGCTATCCAATGTATATGTGCTCTAGATTCCATCCTTTGTCTATCGATATTATCCTAGAATTTCCCTATTAAATCGTCATTTTTTCTTTACAAGATCATTCTTATCAGCATGCAAATATTCTGCAATTTATTCAATTAAAAAAACCCACCTTTTTGAATCCCAGTCTGTCTCAAGTTATCTTCTCATTATTCTCCCTTCTTTTACAGAAAAACTTGTTTAAGGCATTTTTTGTGCTTTATTCTGTACTTCCAATTTCCTCCTCTAATTTTTTCTTGAATCCATGCCAATCAAGTATTTTTTTACCACCATTCCACAGAAACTTCTCTTAAAGTTAAACCAATGACTTCCACATTGCTAAGTAAGAGGTCAATTCCAATCCTCTTCTAAATTGATTGATTGCAGCATTTAGCATGTTTGATCATTCACTTGTTTTTGAAACACTGCTTCCATAACACCCACCCTGTCTGTTTTCTTTTTCTCCTATATATTTTTTGCTCTTTCTTTGCTAATTCATTCTTATCTGTCTGACTGGTAAATGTTAGCGTGACTTAGAGTTCAGTCTTTGAACCCCCTTCTTCCTCTGTCTCTACCTCTTCCTTAGGTGATCTCATTTAGTTTTATGGCTTTAACTACTAAAGCCATACTATGTGGTGATGACTCCCAAATTTATATCTGCAGCTCTGACCCCTCCTCACCTCCAGAAACCTGTATCCAGCAACTTACTTGATATGTCATGTGGATAGTTAGAGACATCTCAAACTTAACATGTTCAAAACAATTCCTAATATTCATCTATAAACAATTATTAAACTATCCTCATGCCAACTTTCCCATAAATGGTAATTACATCCTTCGAGATGCTGGGTAGAAAGATTTTGGAGTTATCTTTGACTCCTTACATTCTCCTCCCACCCTAGTCTGTTAGAAAATTATGTTGGCTCTCTCCTCAAAATATATTCAGAATTCTATTTCTTATCACTTTTCATTCCATTTTTGTAGTCCAAATCTTCATCCTCTTTCACCTGGATTACTGCAATTGTTTCCTAACAGCTTCCCCTACTTCTGCAATATAGTCTGAGAATGGTACCCAAAATATGTTATTAAAATGTAAACCGGATCATCTTACATCTCTGCTCACAACTCTTTTATGTTTTGCAGTTTTCAAGTCAGCATGTCATCACATATCCTCCCAGTTCCTAAGAGCTCTCTACCTCTCTGCCCTCAGTCTCCATACTCCTTCTTTACTACTCTCTGCCCTCAGTCTCCATACTCCTTCTTTACTACTGTGGATTCTTCCCTCGTACATGATTAACTTTCACCTTGTCAGAAAGACCTTCCCTGGCCATCCTATCTAAAATTTCAACCTTCTCCCAACATTTCATGTCCCCCTTCCCTACTTTATTTTCTTCCCTTAACACTAACCAGTATCTAACATACTTATTTTTACTTACTTATATTGTTTATTACCTGCTTCACCCACTAGAAGGTAAGCTTCATGAGGACAGGGATATTTGTGTGTTTCTTTCACCACGGTGCTTGGAATAGAGCCTGGCACACAGTAGATAATCAGTCAATACTGAGGATATTATCTAATTCTAAGTGCATGTAGAACTCATAATCCTTATGCCTTACTGTCTTATACATAATTTTCAAAGCTAGAAAGAACCATAAAGATTATGTCATCTAATATGGTTTGACTCTGTGTCCCTACCCAAATCTCATCTTGAATTGTAATCCCCACATGTTGAGGGAGGGTGGCTGGTGGGAGGTGATTGGATCATAGGGACAGTTTCCCTCATGCTGTTCTCATGATAGTTATTGAGTTCTCAGGAGGTCTGATGGTTTTAAAAGTGGCACTTTCTCCTTTGCTCTCTCTCTCCTGCTGCCATGAGAAGACATGCCTTGCTTTCCCTTCACCTTCTGCCATGATTGTTAAGTTTTCTGAGGCCTCCTCACCTATGCGGAACTGTGAGTCAATTAAACCTCTTTTCTTCAAAAATCCCCCTTCTCAGGTGGTATCTTTGTAAGAGTGTGAAAATGGACTAATGCATCATTCAATTACTCTAATGTTGAGGATACTGAAGAACAGAGGTGAAGAGACTTGTCCATACCCATATGGATGGCAACAGAGTCTTGCCAAATTCCTTTATTACATGTCTTGTAGTAACCTCTATGTTCAGCGTTTACCTTAAGACTTACATAACTTCATCTAAAACTCTAGGTATTCACACCATAATTTTAATTTATGAATATTTTTCTTAAATGCAAAGTCTGCTAGTTACAAATGAACTCCCTTGAAGTCAGGAAAAAATGAAGTGTGCTCATTTGACACATCTTACTTACATGACACTAAGTACATTTATAGTTTGTGAGATTATGATTCTTCCATTCAATTTTTAAGACTATAAATTTTAGTATCTTCGTTATTCTTTATTACTGGGCTGTTTTTGATATTGTGGTTTACATATTTTGAATATACCTGTTATCTAAGGCTAACATTAAAAATTCCCATTGAATTTTCTTAGCACTTCTGTTGAAAATCAACTGATTAAAAATGTGAAGGTTAATTTCTGGAGTCTTAGTTTTATTCACTAAATGTATATGTTTATCCTTCTGCCAGTACCACATTTTCTTGATTACTGTTGCCTTGTAGTCGACTTTGAAATGAAAACATGTGAGTTCTTCAACTTTGCTCTTCCTTTTCAAAATTGTTCTGGCTACTCTTGGTGTCTTGTATTTTCATATGGATTTTAGAGTTGGCTTGTCAATTTCTGCTTGAAAGAAGCTAGTGTTTTGGTCAAGATTCAGCTGAATCTGTAGGTAAATTTGAGTTGTATTGCCATCTTAATAATTTTAAATCTTCCAATTCATGAGCATGGAATGTTTTTTCCTTTATTTAGGAATTCTTTATTTTTTTCCAACTGTGTTTTGTAGTTTTTGTATGCAGGTCTTGAACTTCTTTTAAGGTTATTTCTACTTATTTCATTCTTTTAAATTGAATTATAAACATAATTGCTTTCTCAATTTTATTTTTTAGGTTGTTCATTTCTGGTGCAGATAAATACAACTGATTTTTGTATACTGATCTTGTATCAGCAACTTGGCTGAACTTGTTTATTGGTTCATATATATATATACACACACACATATACATTTAAAAGTGAATTCCTTAGAAGTTTCTATATGCAAATTATATAATCTGGGAATAGATATAGTCTTACTCTTTCTTCCCAATCATATACATATTATATCTTTTCTTTTTGGCTTAATAGTTATGACTAGAACCTCTTGTCCAATGTTAAAGAGTTGTGGTGAGAGCAAACATCCTTGTATTGTTCCTGATTTGGGTGAAAACTTCAGCCTTCCATTGTAAAGTAAAATGTTACCTGTGGATTTTTAAATAGATACTCTTTATCAGAATTAGGAAATTCCCTTTTATTTCTAATGTTTATCTTTTATCGTGAATGATTATTGAATGTTTTTCAAATGTTATATTTTAACCTACTGAGATAATTGTATGGGCTTTGTCCTTTATTCTATTAATGTTGATTATTATATTATATTATATTATTGTATTAATATTGATTTTTGGATGTTAGACCAACCTTAAATTCCTAGGAGAAATCCCATTTTGTCTTGGTGTAGAAGCCTTTTTATATATTTATATATTTTTGAATTTGAGAATCCTTTTCTTTTGTTTATGATCTCATAAGTGATGTTTTTCTGTAGTTTTCTTTCTTTTCTTTTCTTATTATGCCATTGTCTGTTTTTGTTATTAGGGTAAAATGCCTCATAGAATCAGTTGGAAAGTATTTTATTCATGTCTACTTCTTGGAAAAGTTTGTGAAGGATTGGTATTAATTCTTTAAATGTTTGGTACCATTTACCAGTGAAGCCACTGGGCCTGAGCTTTTATTTTGAGAAGTTTTGACGTGACTAATTCAATCTCTTTACTCTAATTGGTCTATTCAGATTTTCTATTTATTTTTGAGTCACTTTTTGCTGGTCATATCTTCCCAGGAATTTGCCTATTCCACGTCGGTTATCTAATTTATTGGCATACTGTTGTTCATAGTATTCCCATATATATATATCTATCTTTAAGGTTATTAGTGATATCCCTTCTTTTATTTCTGATTTTAGTAATTTAAGTTTTTTATCTTTTTCCTTGATCACTCTAGCTAAACATTTTGTCAATTTTGTTGATATTTTCTTTTCTTTTCTTTTTCATTTTTAAGACAGAGTCTCACTCTGTTGCCAAGGCTGGAGTGCAGTGGCATGATCTCGGGTCACTGCAACCTCCACCTCCTGGGTTCAAGCGATTCTTCTGCCTCAGCCTTCCAAGTTGCTGGGATTATTATAGGCACCCACCACCATGCCCGGCTAATTTTTGTATTTTTAGTAGAGACAGGGTTTCACCGTGTTGGCCAGGCGGGTCTTGAACTCCTGACCTCAAGTGATCCACCTGCCTCGGCCTCTCAAAGTGCTGGGATTATAGGCATGAGCCACCGTGCCCACCCTGATATTTAAAAAAAAAAAAAAAATTTGTTTTGGCTTTATTAATCTTCTCTCTTATTTTCTGTTTTCTGTTTCATTTGTTTGCACTCAAATCTTTATTGTTTCTTTCTGCTTATTTGAGGTTTGTTCTTTTTTAGTACTTAAGGTGGATATTTAAATTATTGATTTGAGATGCTTTTTGTTTTTAATAAAGGTATATGTTTTTAATATATGTATCTTGCAGCTATAAATTTTACTGTAAGCCCTGCATTAGCTGCATTCCATAAGTTTTGGTATGTTGTGTTTGTTTTCATTTATATAAAGGATTTTGTAATTTCTCTTGTGATTTCTTCTTTGATCCTTTGGATATTCAAGAGTGTGCGATTTAATTTCCACATATTTGTGAATTTGCCAAAATTTCTTGCATTACTGACTTCTAATTTATCCCAACTGTGGACAGATAACATTTTAAGTATGATCTAAATAATTTTAAATTTATTTAGACTTGTTTTATGGCCTAACATATGGTCTAGCCTGGAGAATGTTTCCATGTGTGCTTGAGAAGAATGACTACTCTGCTATCGTTAGGCAGATTCTTCTATAGATGTCTGTTAGACCTGCTTGGTTCATAGTGTTGTTAAAGTTTCTGTTTCCTTTTTGATATTCAGCCTAGTTCTTCTGTCCAATATTGAAAATGAGGCATTAAGTGGTCTCCAACTATGATTGTTGAATTATCTCTTTCTCCCTTGCATTCTCTCGGTTTTTGCTTCATGTATTTTAGGGATCTATTAGGTGCATATATATTAACAATTATTATCTGTTCCTAATATGAAATTCACAGAATTCTACAAAACTGTAGGTTTTATTGCTCATTAGGAACGTAACTTGGCCTCCCTTTCCTCATCTTTAAAATGGTGAAAATAGTACCATGATGGGTGTAGTATGAGGAATAAAAATGCTTAGTAAATAGTAGGCACTCGATAAATAAGGTTTTTTTTTTCTCTTGTCTTTCAGAGATTGTTTTCTCATTGAGATTGCATTGTACCAGATTTGGTATTCCTTAGGGGATATGTTTATAATCTCTAATCATTGATACTCTTCCTATTAGGCTGAACAGAAGAAAATACTGCATTTAGCTCCTCAGCCAGACTGTGGGATGATGGAGTAATACTGCCATAGAATCCTTGGAAGACAGACTCCCTTTGATGTCTGTTGGTCTTTTCTGCTTTAGAATATAGGACAGGGACTGTCTAGATTATCTGCCATGAGGCAGTTATCAGTTACTGATTACCCCTTGATGATATTATGTCAAAGATTTTATTATCTTTTCGTCTTGGCTGTGGCAAATATAAGGCACCAAAAATGGAAGAAAAAATAGGCTTCAAACAGCTTGTTATTTAAAAATAACTACTTATTAACAGGTTAATTTATATTAATTCAATTGAGTTATTTTTCTGAAAACAGATTTTCTTTTGTATAGATGGGACATAATTCTCTAGATCGCTCAGAGGAGTAGGTGTTTCCTAGAAAGTCCGAATTTACGAGTTAATCTCTCCCACATAACTTAAATATCTCTTATTCTAATTTAAGTTTTTAAAGCTTATATTCTATCTTGCACTTGAAAAGTAGCTCCTAAGTCTCCTTGCTCTAATTGTAGTGATAATTGTAATTGAGAATGCCAATGATGGTGAAATGGTATTAGCCAAATGTTATCGTAGATTTGCCTCTTTCCTTTCTTCACACATTGGTGATCTCTAAAGGGGATCGTACAGCAGGAGGAGATATGGTCACCTTGAATTGTGAGACTTGCTTCATAAAAAATGAATGGGAAGAAGCCAGGGAATCATTGATTGGCAAGGGTAGGAAGTGGAATTGTAGGAATTTTTTTTTTTAATTTGAAGACATTAAGTCTAAAACTTAGTAATTTTTCAGTAATTAATTTTCTACATTTTTTAAAAAATAGAAAAATAGTTTTCTTTGTGGAATTCTGTTCATATATCATGTCTAGAGACAGGAACCAATGGATTGATATTTATCTACAGTGACATATTCCATGCAGTTCCCTGGCATTCTCTTTCTGTTTTGAGATTTTTAGTTCTATCTAGTAATTACTGATGGAAAAATAATGATTACATAAAAAAAATCTACAGGAATAGAAAAGAAGAAAAAGACCAGTACCCAAATCTTAAGAGCAGTTGAACTTAGATGAGCTCTGTATGATTTTACTTTACAATTTCTACTTTTTTGTATTTTTAGTTATTCTTTGAAAAGTATGCTTTACTGAGTATTTGTAATTTAAAAAATGAGTTTCCATCTTATCTAAATAAAGATCAAATGGATACATCAGGTACCCTGGTCAGTCTGTTCCTTCAACCTATTTTTACCTAGTCAAACACCATGCTGATCATCTTAGGTATCATGATCTGTAATGCTTTCAAGCATAAAACAGATACTAGAATTAAGATATAAAACATTATTTTTGTCAATATTTATTTTTAAACAATCTCTGGAAGAAAAGAAATTTAAAAACAAAAGGCTTAAAATGTATTAATACCTCAATGTTAATAATTTAATATTTTTCCCAAGTGATTGCACAATGCTTAAATACAATTAAACAAAAAAGATGCAATAAAGTATAATCCTGCAACATTATCCCATAATCTGATTTTAGTAAATATTACATTTTTAAGCATTTTATGCTGTTTTTTTAAATATAGTCACTACTATATGTACTTGCTTTTATGTTACATAAGCTTTTAATATATAACTTAATCTCTGAGATGTTATTTGGTTGAGAGGCCTCAGTTGATTAAACACAGATTTTCTTATTATAAAATCAGAAATAATAGTACTTGCTTGTAATAAACGGAAAGGTTAACATTCATAAGATTCATAATCTTTGAGCAGTTACGTATACGCAAAATAATTACTGTAATTAATCTTAGATGATAGTCCCTGGTTTGAGAAAAAGTTTGGTTTGACATTTAGTAATTAAGCCTTATTGCATGATACTTCCTTGACTCAGCAAAGCCACATATAATATAAATCAAGTGTAGAGGACTTTGGTTTTTAAATGTTAAAAATATAATTGGAGCAGATAGGTACCTAAAATATGCTCTTATAATAGGAATTAAAAGCCATTTAGTAAGTCCACATTCATTTCCTATTTGATTGCTAAATATTTAAGAGTTTTTCAGTTATGGCCTGTCTCACAGAGGAAGTATGATTATCTAAATACGTACTTTTTTTTTTAAATAAAGGAATTGCTTGCTCAACTCAGTGCTTTCTGTAAAACATTGCAAAATTGTGCGCATCTGCAAGTTAAAACCATGACATATAGCAGGCTAAAATTGAACAGAATTTGATTGCAGACCTGAAGCTGATTTTCTCAGTTTTGCTACCAAAAACATATCTTGCTGGAGTATGCTCAAGATTTTTTGAACAGTCCATGAAAGGTGACAGGGATGTTAATCTCCACTTCAGCCCGGGCAACTTCACTTAAGTCCTTGGCATTCAGAATCAGGAGATAAGCAGGCTTTTGTCCTGCTCCTGGGCTCACCACCACACTCAGAACTACACCTGTTTATCAGAAGTAAATTAGGCAATATTGAGTTTTTAAAAGCCCAAGCTATAGATTGAATGTCATTGAAATAATATAGGAGGTATTACATTGACAAATATAGAAAACCATATGACCTGACTTCTTTTTCTGACTCTTGTACCACCTGGCATGAGACCACCTAAAGAGGTCTTTTAAACTCTTTATGTACCCTACCTACACTGTAAGCTCTAAGAAGGGAGAGTCTTGTCTGTCTTGCTCACTGCTATATCTCAATATTCTATGACAATGACTACAGCGTAGTAGGTACTCATTAAATACTCACTGAATAAATGGATCTGTTCTTATCTGTAACATACAAATATAGCACCTGCTGTACATACTGTAAAAACTGTGATGATCACATGAAAAGTGTGTATTAAAAGACTTTGAAAGCAGTAAGATATATCATATGTATGGTTTCTAAGATCGATCTGGAAGCTGACTTCCTTCGAACAAAATGAGAACAAATCTTTTACAGCTTCGACTGGATATATAAAATCATTTAGTGTGAAATGGCTCCACAATTCTTTATCTCATTTCTCTTAGTTTTCCATATTTTAATCCCATAGAGTGTAATCTATCTCCCTGTCCCAGCTGAGAAGCAGTTAACTAACACTGCTGATTTGTAATTTGAGTTGCTGTATCTGAGTTGCTGGTGTGGCTCTGGGTCTTTTTTCAAGCCCTAGCTTACCGAAAGAACAAATGAAAACTATTCACAGACCTGCCTTCTCATTCTCTTGTATCTGCTATAATACTTAGCTTCCCTTCTTAGAATTGCTATTTTTTTAGAAATATGTCTTCGTCAGGGAAGGCAAAAACCTGGAATTCATGTTGCCATTTTTTCTTCCTTCTCTCCCTCATCTAGAGCAGACATTGATGCTCCATCGTGACACCAAATGGTGCTTTGACATTTTTTTCTACTGGTAATCAACAAGACCTGATCAAAAGATGAAAATTCTTTTCAAATAGTTTTAATTCTTCAGTACTGCTCTATTTATAGTATTAAGGATCGTTTTTGAGTATTACGGAATAATCAACCTTACTCCTTTCCTAACGAACTAACATACAGAACTGCAGTAAGAAGAGTATTCAGACACAACAATTGCTTTCATTACCATCATCTTCTTCCAAGGCATCTGGGTGAGAAACAAAGATGGGTTCTGATGGGTATGAATCAGGCTCTTGCCAAACCCAAGTTTCTTTAGTTTTGACATTCAGCTTACAGAGCTGTTTGTGAGAAAGAAAAATCAATCAAGCAATCAGTCAATATGCTTTACTTGACTAGCATATACTCAAAGCACTGTTCAAATATTAGTAAGAAGGATTAATTACCCTATCTGGAACAAAGTGATTCAAGCCAAGTCCATACGCATATGTGTAAGGTTTCCCACAATACTTCTGGTAATTGATTTGAGGAAACTCAAATGCTACGAAATAGAGCACATGCTTAGGAAAACTCTTAATCTCTTTGAAAGAAACATTTGTTCACTCCCGTGTGAAGTTTTCTCTAGATCATCTCACCTTGACGAGGCCCTGAAAAGAGAACTTCAGGCTCCAGCCAGATAGTCTCGTCACTGCACAGAATTGCAGTGGCAGTTGTATTGGGGAGCGTGACTAAATTCTTGCCTGTGTCAGCCTAGGAGAGAAGATAACAGAAACCTCAGTGAGCAGGAAAGAATTCAAACAGCCAGAAATGCAGAGTTCTTAAGTCTTGGCTCCTAAGTTCTTTTTTAGGTCAACATGCAGGGAGGAACTGCAGGAAGCTATAGATGAGGGACCCTGGGACGCGACTGGGCAAGCTATCTGTGCCTGTGTCAGTCACTGGCTATGTATCACTGGGAAAGTCACATAACCTCTTAGGCCATCAATTTTCTCTTCAGTAAAATGAGACCATCCTTGAAGAAAATTTAGGGCTCCAAAGAAAGGCCTCTGAAAAACAAAAAAACAAAAACCAAACAAAAATCTCAAAACCAATAATAATAATAATTAATGTTTTTCTGCAGAACAACAAAGACTTCGACTGCCTGAGGGATGAAAGAATGTATATTTCGTTCACACGTAGAATATGTTTTGATTTTGCTTGAAAAAAAAAATCCTTACAGTTATGTTGACAAAAAGAAAAAAAAAAAACGCTGGACCATATGTTTCCTAAGATCTCTTGTCACACACACATGATTTTTCTGATTATTTTATGAAATACCATGAGATTTTTCTAACATATCTACTTATTAATAATTTCATCAAATACTTGATTACATATTTTATTCTAGACTCTATTCTTGGCATTCAGGATGTTTTGGAGAGTGAAGTCCCTGTCCTCATGAAGCCTACATTCTAGTTCAAGGAGATATACAATAAATATAATTAATAAATTTTATAATATACCACAAATGTGGGGGAAAAATAGAATAGAGGAAAAAAGATCAGAAACGTGAAGGGTAAGCGGTTAAAATTTGAATAGATGGTTCGGGTAGGTCTCTTTGAACAGGTGGCAGAGGAGACAAAACTCTTAGAAGATGAGAGAATTAGCAATGCAGATATCTGGGGAAGAGTGTTCACGCTAAGAGAACAAATTGTGCAAAGGCCTGAGGGAGGAGGATGCTGAGTGTGTTTGAGGAGCATCAAAGAGTCCAGTGTGGATTCTATCAACTGAGCTAGGGGAGAGAATAAGAAAGGAAGGTGGGGAGGTCACGAGCCAGGCTGTACAAAGCCTCGTAGGTCATTATGAGGACTTGATCTTTCTCTGTGAGTGAGTGATGGGAAGCCATTGGAGGGTTTTCAGCACAGGAGTGAGATGCTATGATTTATTTTTAGGGTAGCCTTGTTAGTAGGGAGGATCCAAGAGTGGAATCAGGGAAACCAGTTTGTCTTGTAGTAGTCTAGTTGAAAGAAAACAATGGTTCACACTAGGCCAGTAGCATTGCAGTCAGTGAGAAGTGGAAGAAGTGGAGGACAGAGTCAAGAAGATTTCCTGTTAAATAGGATATGGGACGAGGAAGAGGCATGAAAGTAAGAGAGGCATCAAGCATAACACCAAGGTGTTTGACCTGTACAATGTTGATGTCACAACAAAGATAGGAACTACAGGTGGAGTAAATTTTTGGTGGGGGAAGATGAGAAGTTCAAGTCTTGTCTTATTAGACTTGAGATGTCTATTGGGCATCCAAATGCAGATGTGGAGCTGGCGCTAGCAGGTAAGAACCTTGAGTTTAAGAGAAAGCTAAAAATGTAAATGAATAAGGCATGAATATTTAACAACGAGTGAGTGTATAAATGGAAGATAGGGGAACCAAGGCCCTCCAACAAGACGAGGAATGAGAAGGTAGCTGGTTGGGGCAAAAATGTCAAGAGAAGGATTTTGTAAGAGCCTGACAAAAATGATCCATCGAAAAGGGTAGGAGAGTGGTGATCTAGGAAAGATGGGGAGAATTGGGAGAGTGATTTCCCTGAGAATGTGAAGGAGGATGAAAGAGATCAGCTCTGGATAGGAAGATGGATAATTCAGTATATGAGTACAGATGCTGGTGGGTGGGTAGATGTGCTGGCAAGTCTATGGTTCCTTTCTGATTTCTTTCATTTGTTTCAGAGAAAAAGAAAACATAGCCATCAGCTGCATCTGAGTGTGGAGGCGGGAAGTGGGAGGTGGTAAAAGTTTAAAGAGAGGAGGGTGTGGAATATTTAACTAGCAAAGTGAGAGAGTAAGTGAAGCCGGGAAATGTAGCAGAAAGATTTGTGGTCATGCATCTAAAATGGAACCAATTAACATGATTGTGTGTTGTCTGCACTTAGTTCAGCCTCAGAGGTATAAGCATGGAGGGGGTGGAGAGCTGAATTTAACTAGGGTTGTGATTTTGACAAATGACTTTGATAAGGTAAGAAAGAGGCAAGGGAAAGGAAGGTCTACATGAGAAAGTGTTTGTAATTATTGACTGTAAAGCTTAAATTGAGTGAGGAGAGAAGGTAAATCCTCAACGTAGTGAGAGAGAGTGAGAAAGTACTGTGTTCAATGGATTGGAAGTTCCTGGTGGAAATTGCAGTAGGGCAAGTGATGTTGAAAGATAAAAGGTCAGAGTGGGTCATGCATGAAACAGATTATGGAAGGAGTATAGTCTTAAGTAGTGGCAAAGTCGAGGGCATGAGGGATATATATATATATATATATATATACACACACACACACACACACACACATATACATCACTTGGCTATATGATTAGATAAAATGAGATGAAAACTTAGGGAATTTTAAGGGTGAATAGAGGGAACAATGATCTGAAAGCAGCAAAGAAGAAGGACCTCTACCCCAACTCCAGGCCAAGTGGTAAAAGGGCTGTACCCTGTACAGAGGAGAAACTGATTCCCCTGGAAATTACTGTTGGGGAGACCAGTGTCCTTAGGGGAGAGAGCCAGATTTTGGTTAAAAAAGGAGGTTGAAGGCAACATTCTAAGAAGAGAAGACAGGAGATTTTTTCTGGTGGTGGACTAAGAATTAAAAGTAAATAGTGGAAGATTTTCAGAATAGGGAAAGGATGGGAGGTGGGAGCCAATAGAGGAGAAGATTCTGCAAGATTTTGTGAAATAAGGGACTCGAGGTACTTAGTGGTGATGCTGGGAAGAAGCGAGGGGTGTGCACATGTATGCATATTTATGTACATGCATACAATAAGTACAAATGTCTATGTCTATGTTTAATATATTATTTATGTGGTTTCAAGTTGAATTTTTTACTTTGTTCTATTTTGCTTATTTTCATTGTTAAATTAGATTTCCTGTTTGTTTGTTTGTTTGTTTGTTTCTTGAGATGGAGTCTTGTTCTGTTTTGTTTGTTTGTTTGTTGAGATGGGGTCTTGTTCTTTTCCTCAGGCTGGACTGCAATGGCATGTAGCTCACTGTAACTTTGAACTCCTGGACTCAAGCAATCCTCCTGCCTCAGTCTTCCAAGTAACTGGGACCTAAGCCCTTTCTATTTTTCTCTTCATTGCCAAACTTTTAAGAGTGTGCACGCAGTAACTGCTTTCCAGATACTCAACTGCTTACCTTAAGAGCCCTGAAGCCTGACTTCTGTCTCTCTCACTCTATTCCCTTAGAGATCACCAAACCTAGTGCTTTATTCTTAGTCTTCACCCTTTTCAACTTGTCTATGGCAATGGGCACCGTATAACCCTCACCTGCACTCATCTTTGTGACGTTACTCTCTCTTAGTAGGAACTAGGGCTTTCTGGTGGCTCTTGTTTCTTTTTCTGGCTTCTCTTGTTTCTTTTTCTGGCTTCTCTTGTTTCTACCATTTTCTACACATGTTTATTTTCTGGAGCTACTGTGCTTGGCTGTCTTCTCTCTCTGTATTCTCTGGCTCTCAAATTCTTTATTTTTTAAATAAGCAAATTTTAAATGTTTCTTTTGGAAAACCTAATCTAAAATATGATTTCCCCCCCTGCCTGCAGTCTTATCTCTCTATTCTTACATATTTCATTATCATTTCAATACCATTAATTATGGGCTTTTCTTTTGTGTAAAAACCTTCACTGTCTTTCCATTACCAGTTCAATAAAGTGCAAATTTCTTAGCCTGGCCTTAAAGCCTTCTAAGAGTACAACGTACTTTTATAACTTTTTATCCCATTTACTTTACTACTTTTGCCTATGTTTCAACCAATTATAATAGCCAATTCTCTCTGCGTATCTCCCTCTCCACCTATCTGTCTTTCCTCAAACTGTTCTTTCTGTCTTCAGTTGTTCTGCCTCAATCCCATCTCCACCTGCCATATTACTGCCCATTGCAAATAACTATGTTCCATTAATCTCCCCTACATTATCATCTGACTAGCTATTAACAAATCAATTTATCCCTCCTGAGAGTACTACTCCTGTGCTGACATGCATGGCTATTCCTGATTCGGCTTCTTTCTCTCTGATACACTAGGTAACGGGCTCCATGAGAACTAGAAGTGTATTTTATGTACCCACTGCAACAAATAGTATGATGCCTGTTTTAGTGGCTACTCAATAACTATTAGAAGAAAGAGGAGACGGATTTGATGATGTTAGACATTTTTTATGATTATTACAGTTCCCTATTCTATAATTGGGTAATATTTCTTCAGGCCGTGATAACCATACAGTTAGAAAAATCCTTCTTTTTTCTTTATTTTGCAATGTGAATATTTAAGTTAAGTGATCCTCTTTTATTTCCTTAAAGATGATTGTGATTTTTACCATTATTAGCGAAGTAAGAGTTTACTGAAATTAACTGACTCATCCATTTGGTGAGTATTTTGGGAATGCTCAACTACATGTCAGTGATATGCTTCTTAAGGGGAAAGCAAAAATCCTTAAGGTACCCAGATTGATCTCTCTCCATGATCTTTCTTTGGAGCTCCAGATCCATGTACAGCAGCTGCCTATGGAATGCTTTGCTAAGATTGCTAGTGGGTACTTTCAAATTACATCTATAAAGTAAAATTTATTCTTTTTTCTACAAGCTAGCTCCTGTTACTTCTATTTATTTATTTATTTATTTATTTATTTATTTATTTATTTATGATGGAATTTCACTCTTGTTGCCCAGGCTGGAGTGCAATGGCATGATCTCGGCTCACTGCAACCTCTGCCTCCTGGGTTCAAGCGATTCTCTTGCTTCAGCCTCCTGAGTAGCTGGGATTACAGGCATGCACCACCATGCCCAGCTAATTTTGTGTTTTTAGTAAAGATGAGGTTTCTCCATGTTGGTAAGGCTGGTCTTGAACTCCCAACCTCGGGTGATGCACCCGCCTCGGCCTCCCAAACTGCTGGGATTACAGGTGTGAGCCACTGCGCCTGGCCCAGCTCCTCTTACTTCTATGTTTTCAGTTCAGTGAATTATACCATCATTCACTCAACTGCTCAGGATGGAAATCTTGAAGTCATCCTGAACTCCTTCCTCTCCCTTACCCCTCACATGTAATTAGATACCAACTGCTGTTGATTTTGCTGCCTAAATATTTCTCAGCTTTGCATCTTCATCTCTCAGTCACCATTTTCTTAACTCAACTACTTATTCCCTTTTATTTGCCTCATTGCATTAATCCTGTAATAGGGCTTCTAGCCTCTGCTCTAGACTCTCCACTTTCCAGTCTGTCTTCCATGATGCTGCCAGAGTAACTTTCTGAATCACAGATCTAATCATGTCCTAAAATACACTTAAAATACACATTTAAAATACTTAAATGGCTCCCTATATTTATATAACACTCAAAGGCTTATATAGCCCATTACAATATTGCTCCAACCTATCTTTCCAGTCTCTCTGCCCAAAACCCATCTCCCCTACACCCCTAAATAAACCAAACTCAGCAACTACTTCATATTTATAGATGAAATCTTGCATTTTTAACTCCTCCTTGCCTTTATAGACGCCCCTTTGCCTGTCTGTAACACTCAACCTCAACCTTCTCCCTCTTTCTCATTCTTCATAGAGCTTACAAACTTGCTTAAGAGCAGTGGTGTTTGGTTCTAAATTGAGTTTATTTTCTACTACACCATATCTAAGCCTTTGGTACAAAGTTTTACATTCCATGTAGCTGTTTTAATAACCCCTTTTGTGCAACCAGGGAGCAAATAGATATAAAAGAAAGCATATATTCACATACCTATATGTGAGAATTATATTTTATTGATTTTGACTGGTATTTCCATCACACTACAAATTCTAGATGTTACTCTGGTTATTCTAAAAAGACAGTCTCTAAATACAGGGAAGAAAAAGTAGAAATAAAGAGATGACTGTCTATTGTTAGTAATGATTTTTAACCTCTAGTGATATTTTTCAGAAGATTTATAGAAAACCAAAATAATGAACTGGTTTCCCTACAAGAGTACTTTTTGATGCTTCATCTCTCCAGAACTTCAAATTATTTAAACTATTTATATTATTGATAAAGTATCATAGGAATCAGTGGATCTGCACTATTCACCGAGGAAGTATATTTTAAAGACAATTTTGTAAATACAAGAACGGCAGATTTAGAATTTAAAAACCTGGTTCTTATCCTGGCTCTGCTGCAGTTGCTTTTGCTAAGTCACAGTACTCTTCTGAGCTTTAGTTTCATTTGTAAAATGAAGGAAGTTTAATTAGCCTATTTTTAAAGCTCCTTCTAGCTCTCAAATTTCAAGACTTTATGTATAAACATGAGGCAGGAGGACAATTCCTGAGAGAGATGAAACATTCTGGTTAAATCTGAAATCTACAGAGAAGCAGGTTACCTTGTCAATATTCAAAGGAAGTACATATCTCCTAACTTCAGGTTGGGGAGCCTTTCTGGCATTTTTTTTCACCTCTTCCCAGTTCTCACGTAAATTGGCTAAATATAAGTAATTATAAACAAACTCAAATCTGCAAAAATAAAAAGTCAAACATGAGCACAGGCAATGACAAATAATTTTAGAGAGATGATTCTTGCCTTTTTAAGCACAAGTGCCTGCCTGTTCTTTATTCCACAACCCAGAAACTGCTATTGAGCCAGGTGTATCAGAGCCATTTCCTCCCGCCCACACAGGATGAAAATAAAGCAACCTGCTTAATGGATTTGTTTAAGTAACAGCAGCCTTGAGATACTTTCTGTTCTGTCTTCCTGTCACCATTCTGTTTGTGTCCTTAGGTGCTGTTGTCTTCTTAGTGATTTGGCTAGTCTGAAAAACGCATGTCTTTTTCTCCCTTCGCAGAGAAGATGGGGCTCAAGTTTCCCCAGGGATTTTGTCAACTTTAAGTTCACCTCTCAGGTCACAGAATCTTTTGTTTTCAGGTGGGGTTCATGGACCCGATTAGTTTTCAATCATTAATCATAGTTTTGATGTTCAGATTACCTAAACTTCCTACTGCTTTTCCAATTACATTTTTGACTCTCACATAACTCTTGCTGTTTTAGATGTGATTCAGATTGAGTGCAGCAGCTCTGTAAAAACCCCGTAATTTCCAGGAACAATGGGAGGTGTCCCATTTGTCCAGTGTCCTTTCTTACCCTTTCCAGCAGCAGAGATCCACAATCAGAAACCCATTGTCTTCATAGGTGTTGATGTGATGGAAGAGGTTGAAAGGAGAAGTTCTGTATTTATTATTGAGGTACTTTTTCCTTTTTTTGTCAGCAATATGAAGCCAAACCTTGAAAAATGAGGAAAATATTTTGATGCATTTAAAAAGGAAAAAAGTGTACATTATTAAACACATCTTCTTCAGAATCACAAACTTGACAAATATATCTAAGACTTACCCCCATGGTTTCATTGGACTCAAAACAATCCATGTAGTTGGCTCCCCAAAGACTCCATGAAGAAAGGAACTTGAACAGGTTAATTTTGACTGGTGTCTCCACAAAAACGATATAGTTGGGAGTCAGACCAAAACTGTTCAGAAACACAAATGGGCTTGTGAATGAAAGGGCTGATTCTCAAGCCACAGACAAATTTGTATATATGTGGTATGCTCAGTTACAAGAATCAACAGTGCCTACATGAAATTAATTATGTTTAAATTTAGTTTTCTGCAAAAAAATATTGTGATCAGGATTGGTATCAAAGGTAGGCAAAGCAAATCTTTAAACTTGAGTTTTCCTGAAGATTCATAGCAGGCCTTCAAGTTACCTATGAACGTAAGATGGCTTGAATCGGTCACTGCAGGGGAATTGTACAACGATCTCTGACTTGCTTATTGGATCTTCCTTGTCTGAAATAAAGTGGTTTTAAAAGGCTTTGGAAGAGCCTCTTATTTTTTTTTTAATACAAAGCATTTAGAACAGCTTATACAGGCAAAGAAACACATTTTGATTGTTTTAGAGGGGTTATTTTCATTTTCTCCATCATTTGCACTTCTTAGTGAAATTTCATGTGAAGCTGCAAAATCACCCAGGAAAATCCAAATAGCAGCAGATTTGGAAACGTGCACTCAAATAGGGTTGTGGCAAGTGGAGTGTAGTGGAGTCACATCTTGCAATAGCTGGAGGTGGGTTTTAAGTCAGGGGAGTAGGGAAGAAACCTCAGAATGGTCAAAATGCCTTTTGCAACATCTTAAGATGCCCAAAGGATATAGTTTAGATGGGTTTGTGTCAATAGCCCTGTACAGTAATTCTTATGCACATTAAAATTTACTCACTAGTAAGTGAATGGTCCTCAAACTTTAGTGTGCATCAGAATCACATAAAGAGTTTCTTAAAATACTGATTGCAGGCTCCACTCCCAAAATTTCTCATTCAGTCTGCCCAGGACAAGGCTCAAGATTTGTATTTCTAACAGTTTCCTAGGTGATGGTCTTGGTCCAAGGACTACACTTTGAGAACTGTACTAAATAATACTAAACAAAAATCTGTATACATTCAAATAATTCCATCATCAAGGTGGTGAACAATGAACCTGGCAATAAATGAAGAATGAATGGAGAATTCTAGGGTACACTCTTTTTGCTGTAGTTCTTTTTCTATAGTACTTCTATGAGATAACAGATTTGTTTGTAGTTTTGGGAATTAAGCGCAACATATTTAGTACACTCTCATATATGTATGTATGCTATTATGCACACATACATGCTTATTTAATTTAATTTTGCCTAGCACATGAATAAGTGCTCAATAAATGTTTGCTAAGTTTGAATCCTAATTGTATATGATCAAATCCATATATATATATGTACTACATTTTTAATATTCTAGAAGAGAACTTGGACACTTGCTTTCTATATTTTCAAGTCGTCATCCTTTGATATGATGCCCTTGGGCATTAGGCCCCTTATAGGGTAGGGATGAGGGCAGTACTTCTGAAGTCTGAGAGTAATTTAACTATGCACAAAATGCTATTCTGACATTCTTATCTTTCTCACAATACAGTAACTTTCTCACAATATAGACACTTATTTTCAGAAGAGGACAGATTGGTAAACTCACCTGCTTGCAGTGGTGGGATCTTTACAATGTTGTAGGCAATTGAAAAATTTTTTCCAAAGCAATTACCAATATTGTAAACGGTTCCATCATTTTCAATGTGGGGGTGAGCAGTGGCCCCATTGACAGAGACATAGTTGCAAAGATCAACCTACGGAAGTAAAGTGAATGTCCTCCAGTTGAGAGAAGGAAGATACATTATACCTTTGTCCCTAGGTCTGAGGTCATCACTACCCCTTGAACTCTCATCCTAAGTGCACTTCTCTTTCTTCCCATCTCTCTGGATTCTACCCTCTTTCACCTTGAGTTCCCACCTTCATGCAGAACATAATGCCCCCTCATGTGTCTGAATCTGGAGTTACCTGTGACATCTCTTTATTTGATGTATACCATACAGTGCTCTGGTTAGTTACTTTTCTTTTAGCATATGCAGATTGACCTGAAACCATAAGTTTGAGTCCTCAGACTTCTTTATACTCTTATTATTGTATTAGATTTAATTGTATAAGATTGCTAACATTTAATAATTGCTGATTTCCAAAAATGTCAATTTCGTATGGTACTATGTAAATACCAACTATATGTCTTGCACATGGTACTGTATGAGTTTGGAACTGAAAGGGACTTCAAGCTTCATCTAGTATAGAAAGTCTTAATTTAAATAGACTTTAGGAGAACCATGGATCTCTTTTAATTAAATATAAACATTTCTGGCAAAAGCATACAGCATTTAATTCAATTTTATGTCTCATAAGAAGTTTAGAACTACAAATGTAACACAAATCTCTGTTTGCAGAAGGATAAATTGGGGTTCCAGAGAGATCAAGTGTCTTGTTTAAGGATAAAGAGCTAGATAAATCAGCACTAGATTTCCACCTGGGACCTACTTGGTAAAGAGTTATTGAATGAATAATTACTGGAATATATATTTATCTAACCAAAATTATTTCCAATTAATTAGGGAGATTTTTTTAAAGCATAGGACATTTTAGCAACCTTATTTAAATAATAGGCAAGATATTCATTTATTCAGTCAATCATTTATCAAATACTCTGAGCTTTCACTATGTGCCAGGCACTGTATCAGGGCTCAGGAGAGAGAAGATCTTTGCTTTCAAGAACTTCATTCTAGACCCGTGCTGTTCTATTAATACAGGACCACTAATTTTTAGATAGAACTTCAAATTCAGCTCCTCAGTCACATTAGCCACATTTCAAGTGCTTAATAACACCAGGATAGCACAGTTATAGAGCATTTCCATTATTGCAGAAAGTTCTATTGGACAGCCCTGCATTAGACCAATAAGCCGGTGTAAAGCACTGTGAGTGTGCAATGGCATCGTAGAGAAGCGCCATCTAGCCCAGACTGAGGGATGAGGCAGTTTTCCTGAGAAACATGACTCCAACTAATGTTTGAAAGGTGCGTGGAGTTAGCCAAGTGGAGCAGGATGACAGTGTATTCCAGGGAGTGGGAATCCTAATGTAAATGCATAGACTTGTGAAATAATGTGTGCTGTTTGGCCATTACTAGTCATTTAACCTGGCTGCCATGAAGGGCATGCGTAGAGGAGGCGAAATAAGAGTGGGCCAGCCACAAAGACCTTCGCTTGGACTTTATTTGGGAAGTTATGGATTCCCTAGGTGGAGTAATACTTTCATATTTATATTTTAAAAAATTGCTACTGCTGCCTTAAATAAATTGTATTTAAGGGAATCAGGCTGGAGGCAAAGGCACTGGTTAATAACAGTAAACAATCAAAAATTTCACATTTTTAAAATTACATTTTACAGTGCTAGTAACAGTGGAACCTGACTCCTAATAAAGTCTATTCTGCAGCCATACCATAGCTTCTATATTTCTAATTAAAATATCATGTAATTGTAATACAGATTCCCTATCAAAGTCAAATGAATGATTTAGAAACTCAGCTTTTGTTCTTCTCTAAAGGAGCTACACACACACTTGTATATGGTTACACACACACAACATAAACAAGAAAGAGCTATGGGGAGTGTATGTTAAGACATAGTAAATAGTCTGTTGAGAATTATAGATCAGCTTGTGCTATTGAGACTCAATGTTGAGACTATTTTTTTTCTTCTTATTTTTACCAGTACTGCATTTGTGGTTCTGGCTTTTAGTTTCACCTCTTGGTCTCCCAGCTATACTGTATCTCTTTTGCCTTCCCGTACAGCCCACACATGGCTCCCCAAATAAACATCTGAAAATATAGCCCTACTCATACTACTTCTTTGAGCAAAAACTTTCAGTAGCTTCCCATTAGCTAAACAACATATTCCAAATGTATAGCCAATTATTCAAGCTTTTAATTTCATCCTACCCTGTGTCTCAATATTCCCCTTGACATTAACTACTCTAGGCAACTAGTTCTCAACTGGGAGTGTTATTGCCCCCTAGGGGAAGATACGGAAATGTCAGGAGCGTTTTGGGTTTGTATAATGATTGAAAACATGACTGGTGTTTAGTGGATGAGGCCAGGGATGCCAAACCTCTCCCATGTGTGGGACGTCTCCATGATGATGAGTCACCCCCTGCCTAATGTCATACTAATACCTCCACTGAGAAATGCTGCAAGTCTAGTCCAAGGAGATTATTCTCCAGTTTTCATGAACACCTTCTACCTCCATGCTTTTGATCGCTTTACCCCCTCCATCTAGCATATCCTTTCTCTAAATTCACTGAAATCATCCCTCTCTTTTAACTTCCAGCCCAAAGCCTTTCCCTTTAAGCCTTCTTTCACCTGTCCCACCTTGCATTGCCAACTACTTCCAGAAGTAATTCCTTTCGTATTTATGCTTTCTTAAAAGATTTTCCTTCTTAAAAGACTCGTCATATTCTTTGTCCTATTACAGTTACATATTTGATTTCTCCACCTAGACATTAAGTCACCTGAAGACAAGAACAATGCCTTGTAAATAGGTGTATCTTAGTAAATATTGGTTCAAAATGTGTATCTAAGGACTGCTGCATTGAGATTCCCTAAGTTCTCCATAAAATTTGTCACTTCCAAATATTGCTGAAATTTTGTTCTATGCTATTTCATTCAAGATATAGCTTTATTTCTAATAAGAAGTATCTATAAGAAGGGGCAAATTAGTGCAACATACTTGCCTAGAACCATAAATAGCATGATTTTCAGTATCAGTAGCTATAATTTTTTGAGCACCCAGTATTTACCAGGTTCATGCTAGCTTATAAAAGCTATGAAAGGCAGGGACCATGTTACCCTACTCATTGATCTATCCCTTGCATCTAGCATAAATTCTGAATATGGAAAGCACTTGATAAGTATTTGTGTCATGAATGAATGAATGAATATGTTAGGCATTTTATATGGGTTCTCTCCAATCCATGTAAGTGTTTAAAATTTTAGAGATGAAGAAACAATGTTTGTCCTATGTCAAATAGCTAGTCATTGTTGACAATGCTAGGATTTGAAACTTAATGTGGCTCTCATGTTCTTTTCACCAAATTACACCAATTGCAGGAAAGCATCATAGACAGAGGCAATCAGTGCAGTCCATTTGGAGCTTGGAATGGTCATTCTGTGTGTCCTCATCAAGTTAGAATCATACATTCGCAGCATGAATAATTTATGTTGAATTAATTTTAAGTTCCAAATTCTAAATTCCTGAACATCACCTAGCACTGTGTCCCACCTGCTTAATTGTCTCCAAGGTCTCTGGATTAATCTTTGTAATAAAGTTGGTCTCTGTGCAAGCGTAGTAATCTTCCCCCACTGGGTAGACATTAACAAGGGCATTGTCAGTAACCTCTACTCCTCGAAAGTAAGAAAAAAACCTGTAGAAACAAATGAATTTTTCAGTCCAGTAATTTTCAAGCCATGAGAGAAAAAGGGCTAATATAAAATGTCTTGAGTAACATTCAGTTTGGGTTCAGTAACCTGGAAAATATATTCTTGCAGGGATCTGGGAAAGCACAGGTGCCAAATTCTGTTATGACGATCCTTTTCTCAGTCATTGCCCGTACGTAAGCATCAGTGCGGATGAACCTGAAGGACATTGAAACATAGGGAAGAGTATAGACAGGAGCAATCCGTACAGCCCATGTGGAGCTTAGAATGGCCATTCTATGTGTCCTCATCAAGTCACAATCATAAATGCACAACATGAAGAATAAAGGGTTTTATTAGCTCACTTTCTTGGGGTGACCAAGCAGGGCAGACACAATGTCCCTTGAGTTTACGTTTTTATCTTTTAAACCTCACAGATGAGGAAATTGAGGTTCAGAGGAGTTAAGTGATTGGCATATGTGGCCAAGCTGGGTTAGAATCCTAGTTGGCCAGAGCAGGACAACATGAACTTTCTATATCACACCATGCAGCCCTGGGGGAAGTTCACATAGGACCCCCACCCCCATCACCTATAACCTATCAACCTAAACTTACTGGGAAAATTCCGGACATGGTGTGCTGAATTATATTCTTCTCAATCTCCCTCTGTTACTTTTATGTTTTTCTTCAATTTTAACATTTATTTTGTTTTAAAAATTAAGTATTCTTGAATTCCATCTCTTGCCTAGACAGGTCTGCTAAACCATATCTTAGAGTAGACAGCATACTTTGCCCAGGATTTCTGATATGGAGAGCCAGTTAAAATCTGATTTTGTACTTTTAATTAATTAATTAATTAATTAATTTGAGATGGAGTCTTGCTCTGTTGCCCAGGCTGGAGTGCAGTGGCGCAATCTTGGCTCACTGCAACCTCCGCCTCCTGGGTTCAAGCTATACTCTTGCCTCAGCCTCCCAGGTAGCTGGGACTACAGGCGTGTACCACCACGCCCGGCTAATTTTTCTGTATTTTTAGTAGAGACGGGGTTTCACCATGCTAGCCAGGCTGGTCTCAAACTCCTGACCTCAAGTGATCTGGCCGCCTTGGCCTCCCAAAGTGCTGGGATTACAGATGTGAGCCACCCACACCCGGTCGCACTTTTATGAAGAAGAAAGAGTACCCTGCTCTGTCGAAGGTATAGGAAGCTTTATCTGAACTCCACAGTAAGCTCTTATGGCTACATTTCTGCTTGACATCATCCGTTTCTCTTCTATTATCATGCAAGTTGTCCTGCTTCAAGTCCCCTTTCACTTTTTCTTTACAGGTCTTTTCAAAATGCCTGAAATCTGTGGTGATCAACAAAGCCACTAATAGGCTTGAACACGAAAGCAGAAGACAAAGTATTTGTTAATACTTCATTAATGGGGGTTTCCTGGAATGATGATTTAGGGCTTCAAGGCTTTTTAGCAATAATCTCTTGTTTTCAGAAAACTTCTCTTTCTGGTAGCACTATGACATGTTTCATCCTTCACTACTTTGTGGCAGCCCCCGACCCCTTTCCCAGTGGCCTTTCCAATTTTATAAAAAGAAAAAGGAATCAAGATGGCCAATGGTTTAATAATAATAACAAGCATCACAATAGCTATTATTATGAAGTGCTTTGTGTGTGCTAGACACTGCGCTCTCATTTAATGCTTGTAATGAATATATAAGGTAGATTCTATTATTTCTCCCATTTTACTAATTATAAAACCAAGAATTGGAGGTCAACATCTTGCCAAGGTTACCCTCCTAGGCAAGTCATGTCTGTTGAATACAGGGTTTAAAGCCACTCATGTTGGACCCCAAAGCCCTAGGCTTTAGCTTCTCCTTTATTCCATGATAATGTTCCCTCGTATCCATGCAGACACACTGGCCCAGGTACATTGTGAGAAGAAAGTGGGTATATAGGTTGCCTCCTGAGTTCAGAGGTGAAAACTCACATGGGAGGAGGAGCCAAGCTAGGCCCTACTTTGAGGAGGAGGAGTGGCATGGAGTGCTGCTTTACCTTCTGTGGTATGTGACATGTCCTTCTTTAAAGTCAAACTTGTGCAGGAGGGCTTGCCCATCAAACAGGTGGTAAAATGGCTCAGATCCAACTTCAAAGAGTCCTGGCCCACATCGAAGGAGACTGCCGGTGAGCCAGAGGGGGATCCTGCCTGTGATGAAGGGGAGACAGAACATTGCTTCTTATCCCTGCCTTGGGCTAGGCTTGTCCTTGGTAAGGCAGAGTATATCAGCAGCCTGATTGGGCAGCTTCTTCCTCATAGAGCTGGCAGTGATTTTCATTTCCAGCCCTCGCGCTGGACAGCACTTAGAAAATGTCTGCTGACTTGACTCACCTTCACTAGGAGATCACACCTTGGGAAATGTGGAGATGCCCCAGAGTGTGGATAAAGGGTTGGAAGGAGTGAGGGAGAAGCATCTTGAGAGGATTGGGACTCTCCACCTAATAGATTTCCCCAAACACCAATCCATTTGCCTTTTGCCATCTCATTTTTAAGAAGATTTTCAAATTTCTTGATATATTTTAGTGGAGTGAGGAGTAGAAGTATGGATTAAGAGTGAGAATAAATGTATTTTAAAAAGATGTGTCTATAGAAAAAAGACTATTTAAATGAAAAAACAGGAATCCTGGCTCTTTAAAATCTAGAGCTATATCCCTCTGTGAGTGTGAGCTACTGCTTGGATGAAAGTCAATCTGCTGTAGCAGAAAGTCCACAGGGTTGGATGTCAGGGACATGACTTCTGGTTTAGGATCAGCTCACATGTCATCTCTGGACCTCAGTGTTCTCATCTGCAAAATGTGGGGTACCCAAGATAGTCCTTAAGGCCTCTCAGCTTTCACAGTTAGGTTTGTCCCTAAAAACCCAGGTAGGGCCGGGCGCGGTGGCTCGCGCTTGTAATCCCAGCACTTTGGGAGGCCTAGGCGGGCGGATCACGAGGTCAGGAGATCGAGACCACGGCGAAACCCCGTCTCTACTAAAAATACGAAAAATTAGCCGGGCGTGATGGCGGGCGCCTGTAGTCCCAGCTACTTGGAAAGGCTGAGGCAGGAGAATGGCATAAACCCATGAGGCGGAGCTTGCAGTGAGCTGAGATCATCCCACTGCACTCCAGCCTGGGCGACTGAGCGAGACTCTGTCTCAAAAAACAAAACAAACAAACAAACAAAAAAACAAACAAAAAAAACCCCAGGTAGGTTTATCCTTTGAGAAGGGCAGTGATTGACAGTGCTTCCTTGATTCCTACCAGTGAAGTTTTTCAAGCAAATGGATTATTTCCTATAACTAATAATGATACTGATAGTAATAATTACTGTCTATTGATCACTTTGTGTTGGATAGTGGGTGAATCATTCTATTTACATTACTCCACTTAATTTTCACAACATCCTCATGACGTAAATTTTGGGTTTTTGTAGGTAAGGGAATTGAGGCTCAGAACGTTTAAGTAACTTAGAGGATTCACAGACAGTGAAATGATAGAGCTAGGTTAGCATCTACATCTGCCTCCCAGCAGAACCAACATTCCTCTAATAAAATGGGCATGAAACCCACCACCCTTTAATACTCCCAGGTGCTTGTCACTGGGCCTTCATTTATTCAGACACCAATGGAACAGACATTTATAGGACATTTACTATGTGCCAGGCACTGAGCTAGGCACTGACAGTTTGAAGATGACAAAGGTGTAATCCTGATCCTTAGGGAATTCCAATTAGGTAGCGTTTTTCTGCATTAGAGAAATAAAGTAAAGGCGAATGAAAGAAAATGGGTTCTTGCTATAAAAAGCCCAAACCACCTGATCCCTCTCCCTGTGACCCACAGGGGGAGTCTGCACTGAGAGACGCCAAGGAATAGGAAGCCAGAGAAGAGAGACTGACATAAAAGAGGATGGCTTCAAGATGGGCGAGACCAACCTGTTACATGAGCTGTGAGCGGCGAGGACAGTTCCTCCACAGTTTCAAACAGTTTCTTGTAACCACCAGCAGGATGCTCAACCCTGAAATGGTGGAAGAATAAGGAAGAAGCCCATGTTGATGCTCAAAGTCCGCAGAGATAGAGGCAGAGCTGCAGGAGAGAAGGCACTCTAGGGCTGGCTCAAAGCCTGTTCACTCCTGCCGGTCTAGTCTCAGCTGGGTGGGGGTGGGGGTGGGGGGAGAAGCGAAGGTGAGGGCGGGAGGAGCACGTGAGGCTGGGGGTGGGGAAGACTACTCAGGTATGGAAGGGGGTCCCAGATCACTGCTCTGATGTCAAGAGACATGACCTCTCTTTTAATGTCAATGGTTACAGTGAACTTAATCCTGTCCTCTGCAGTTTTTCCTTACTTCGGAAGACAAATCAATCAATCCTACTGCCATCAGTTCACTTCCTGAAATTTGTTCCTAAACAGGGTCCTTCCCACAGTATTCTCCCACCCTATCAACATGCTCAGCTCACAGCATCATTGATTTTCTTGCCTCAAGGAGAGACCCATTTATCTCCTTCCTAGGGGTTGAGAGATGACAGCTTTTTGGGTCAGGTACCTCATCTTTCATTATTCACTCATATTATACCATAATTTTTTCCCCATCATCTCATTTCTCTACCAATCCCCAAGACCTACAGTACTTTTTCATCATAGTCAGACCAGGAGATTCAGGTTCTATATTTTTGTTTACTTTCTACATCCTCTGTTCAGTTTCATGTTGTAACTTCAAAGAGTGGAATCTCTGACCAGACTCAATTATAATAATTACCTTTTACTAAACAATTACTATGTCCTACATACCATAAAAAGAACTTTGCATGGTATTATCTCTTTTAAATCTCACAGTAACATAATGGAGTAAAAGCTATTGTGACATCTTTCTATATACAGGAAAAGCTAGACTTAAAAAGTTAGGTAATTTGTCCAAAGTCACACACTAGGAAATGACTGGGCAAGGAGTGGAGCCCAAGTCTGTCTGAAATCCCCATACTCAAGACTGCTTCCAAACCCCGGGCTAAGTCACACAAACCCCCCATAATTTGGACCTGAATTCTAGCTAGTTGCTTTAATACATAAGCAGGAAAAAATTTCCCCACCAAAATTCAAGGGTCTTTCCTAAACAGGTCATTAATCAATGCCTTCTCTTCAGGAGCCCTTGAAATAGCACATTTATCATGAATCCATGAAGGTGTTTTAAAAAAGTCTCCCAGAGATACTTACTGGATAGACATTTTCTTCCAGTTCAGGATCCAGAGTTCTGGCACCAACTGCAGAATGAAGAAGGAAGTTCTCAGCCAGGGGCCTTTTTATGCCTTCTAAATCCCTTAAAAGGAGTTATGGCTTTGGGAGCCCTTCCCCACCCCTTCAGCTGAGGGAGGGGGAACAGAAGTTGCTTTCAGCTCTCAGATCCCCCTGATGCTTGGCTTTATTTGGGCTTGCTGTTCCCATAACAGTTGTTTGGCTGTTTTCCAGAGACCTCAATCCTTCCCAAGGAGAATGAGAACAGATTAGAAAGAAAGGAGCTAGGTGGGAGTGGCCAGCGTCAGGCCTGAGCTGATCCCAGTCACCCCACTGGACCTTGGCACCATTCTCTGGGGCCCACCTCCCCCTAATACCTCTGTGCCTTCATTCTCACCCTCATTCATTAACTCACTTATTTTTAAAAATATCTATTACATACCACCTATGAACCAGACAGAGATGGGTATTGTCCCTGTCCCTGTCTTCACAGATCTTATAACTCTGTAAGAGTTATAGTAAACAAAGTATTCAACCATGTTTGATTAGTGCTAAGATTGGAGAAGTATAAAATGTTATGGAAGCACATTGTGCACCTCTAACCCTCTCTAGCAACCTTATTGATACCATTCAGTGCCAATATTCTTCCAACCAGGTTGAGGACTTTTGATTTGCTGAGAATGAAATTCTGCATATCTTTGCTTGTCACTAATGCCTGTCTGCTCTCTGCCTCACCTTCTTGTCCATTGGTATATGTTTGGCACTCTGAGAGTATACAGCATCAATTCATTCATATCTCCAATACTCTTTCATTAAGTCTCAGTTGCTTGCCAGCACAGACAAGGTACTGCCCAAAGAAGTCCTTGGAAAACAGGCAAGATATATACTATACCAGCTAACAACCTTAACATTTTTTTTGAGAAACTCATTAACAATTTTAAATTTAGTGTGCAGTTATGGCTACTTACCCTAGGGGTCTTCTTCAACAAAACTGTATAACAATTAATCCAAGTGCTTCCCAAGATATACAACAGTAGCTTCATTTCCTTACAGTGAGGGCATAGGCATGTGATGGGCTCCACCCGTTAGGGACAGTGGTAGAAGTCCTAATGGTAGCACCTGGGGCTTAGCATCCATAATATCTCTGCCCATCCAAGGCAGTTGTAGTGTCTCCATTCAACAGTGGAGCCCGGAATATTGTTACTGGCTGGGTAGCCTCCAAGCTCCATCCTTTAGCCATCCCAGAGATTGTTAGCTCTCTAATATTTACAATATTTGCGTTCTGCTTTATTAGAGTTAGTTCCATTATTTGCAGCTAAGAGCCCTATGCCTATAAAATGATGGTAGTATAAGATACTACCATCATATTTTGGGGGGTATAATCACTTTTGTTGGATCTTGGAGAGTAATAGAAGAGGAGATTAATATCTATCTTTCCACATTAAAAGACCTGTTTCCAAAATATTTCAAATAAGAAACTTCTCCTCAAAGTACAAGGATAATCCAAATCTTCTTAAACCAGCAATAAAAGCATAAAATTTTTATTTAGAATTAAAGCAAATACTTCTGTATCACAAACACAATATTAAACTTCAATAAATATACCACTAATTTGGAGTGAGCACTTATTTGCACAATACCATACTTTTTTTTTTGCTATGAGAATGCTTTATTAGGCAAAACCATATACTATGAAAGTGCTTTAAAATGCAACAGGAGGAGATGTGAAGACACAAAGAACAAGTGCCTAGTGACACATGGATATCAGAACACACCAAGTAAAGTATCCACACTGCTTCCACCCTTTACCAAGAAAAGGAAGGATCTAGGCCACCTCCTCCTCGTCACCGTAGGATGCTGTGGTACCACCCAGGAAGAACATTGATACTGGCATTAGGAACCTCCAGGAGAAAAAGGAAGTATCTAAGCTGAGATGGGATAAATATATAAAAGTTAGCCAGTCAAAGGGCAGGTAGAAGAGTGTTCAGGCACAGCTTGTGTTATTTATAAAAGTCTAGAGGCTAACATAAGGTGGGAAAATAGCTAGAGATGAAACTGGACTAGAGATAATCATAGGCCAGATTGTGTAGAACATCATAAACTAGGCCAGGCACAGTGGCTCACGCCTGTAATCCCGGCCCTTTGGGAGGCCGAGGTGGGCAGATCACGAGGTCAGGAGATCGAAACCATCCTGGCTAACACGGTGAAACCCCGTCTCTACTAAAAATACAAAAAATTATCCGGGTGTGGTGGTGGGCACCCGTAGCCCTAGCTACTCGGGAGGCTGAGGCAGGAGAATGGCGTGAACCCAGGAGGCGGAACTTGCAGTGAGCTGAGATCGTGCCACTGCACTTTAGCCTGGGTGACAGAGCGAGACTCCATCTCAAAAAAAAAAAAAAAAAAAAAAGAACATCATAAACCATTTACAGAAATCCAGACCCTTGTCATGAGAAAAGGGGAATCACTGAAATATTTTATCCAGAGGAGTGACATGATCTGATTTGCATTTTAGTAGGACGACTTAGAATGCATTGTGGATAATATACTGGAATAGGAGATTTGGGCAAGACAAATTAAAGGGAGGCACAGATCAAACAAGTGGAGATAGCTGTTGTAAGCAGGTACACTGAGGGATGGATACGAATAGTGAAATTCAAGAGATACTTCAGAGGAGGCCTAATCTAACTCTGGGACTGGTAAATGTGTTGGGGAAATAAAAGGCATAAAAAAGGATTACCGGTGGGTTTCTGGTTTCTGGTACAATTCATTCAGATAATGCACACCGTGTGTGTGTGTGTGTGTGTGTGTGTGTGTGTGATGTTTCAGGGATACAGAGAAAATGAATTCTGATTGTGATTTGAACTTATTTATTAAAGGAGAAGATCCCCGGGGCCTGTAATCATTTGAGAGCCTAATAGGGAGGCTGAATGAGTTAGCATCTGAAGGATAAGCTCAGTGTTGACATAGAAAAAAGATGGAGGTGGCATTCTTAGGGAAAGATGCAGAGTGAGAGAAGGCAGAGGAATGAGCATGTTAGAAAGACTTTCTCCTGCAGCATTTTTGTTGGATTTTATTTTCTCAGCAGTCTCTTCTCTTCGAGAAGAGCTACAGGCCATGTTGTCATACCTGTACACTGTCAGTTCATTGGAGAGAAATTCCACTAATATCAAGACCCAGCAGCTTTTTAAAATTTTCACCTCTCCCCTCCCATTACAAGAGGCTGAAAGAGAAGTCTTTGTCGGAAAGAAAGCGTATACTAGTTGAGAGAGAGAGCATTAACAAACTGCATTTAAGTTCACCTCCTGGGAGATGAGAATCCGGTCTTGCTGGTGCCCGTGTCTGCACCAAGTGCCTTTCTTAGATATCCCTGTGCTGCCTTTGGTGTTCTGGGGCTATAACCACATTGTTTAAGAACAGCAACTGGTTTTAGCACTTTTTGCATTGTTTTGCGTCTGTGGTATCCTTTATGCTTCAACGTATAGATCCTAGAAGTCAGCTTCTTGAAGGATATTTCTTTTAAAAGTACAAATCATGGCAATTCATTCTAGGAATGCTCACAAACCCGTAGGCCATATGAATCATCAAATTAGTACGCTTGGAGAAATTCAGGATGAAAACTAATTTCTGTGTATTAAATTTCATTGAACCCTGAGCTCCTCAGGTATAAGACAGGGAAAATATGCAAAAGCATTCTTTAGCCAGAAGTATTCCATATGAATATTAAGTAATGCTTATTAATGTCAATTCTCAGGAAGTTTGAGAGTGTCTAATCTTCTAGCTACTACTTCCTACCTCAGAAGTAACCCATTTTTTTCTTATTCTGCCATTGGTGTGAAGTTAAAGATCAGATGTCCACATCCTTTCAAAGCATGATTTTGACCTCTTTGCTCCTATATCCTCAAATGTAGACCTCTTTTCTAGGTCTAACTTTATCTTTCTGTGGTTTCAGTGTGATACACCGGATCCCCAATGTATTGTTACTTCTCTTTTCATCATCTCCTTTTATTCCTTCCCCACCTTAATTTTTTGTCTTTTGGTAAAATCAGATCTTTATGTCCAATTTCTGTGTCTGCCTAAGAAACTGTTATTTTGACATACTTTGGTGTATTTACCAAAATAATATTCCATGAATTAAAATAGCAAAACACCTTTCTACAGAGATTTCTAAATAGAAACTGATTCCACATTTCTTTGAAGAAACTGGTTTAGAGGGTATTATAAAAGCTGCTTTTTCATCCTGATATTAGGCAGATCAGCTGGGGCCTGCAGGTCATGGTGAGGAGTTTGGATTGAGTTCTGAGAGCAATGGGAAGATATTCAGGGCTTTAAACAGGGGAATGACTGAGGGATCTGATTTATGTTTTGGAAAAAAATCACTCCCACTGGTATTTGAAGAATGGATTATAAGTGTCTAGAAAGGAAGTAGGGAAACTGGCAGTTCATTTCAGGTGAGGTGATGATGGTGCTTAGATTACAGTAGAGCAATGCATATGGAAAAAAGATTGAAAGATTTGAGATATGTTTTGTAGGTAGAAATTATAGGACACATGATAGGTTGATATATATGGGATATAAGAAAATGAGTTAAAGATCATCACCTATCTATTGCTAACATTGTAGCATAAAAGCCAAACAGCAAACCTCAGTGTCACACAAGAGTAAGTTTCTCGGGTGGTTGGCTAGGTGTATCTGCAATATGTCTTAATTTGCTTTCATAACTGGAGTTTACCTTGCTGTCTAGATACTGGCTGAAATAAGTGAGGTTATTTGGCTCTGCTATACCTCTCCTCTCCAGCAGGCCAGCCAGGGCTTATTCCCCTGGCAATGACAAATGAAAGAGCAAGTGATAACAGGAGAAGCCGCTTAAGGCCTAGGCTCAGAACTGATCTACTGTCACTTTCACCACTTTCTACTAGCCAAAACAAGTCATGTGGCCAGCTTAGACTTTGAGTGGGGTGAAAATAGCTTTGACCTTGGTAGTCTTCAGTGAGAAGGACTACAGTGTCACACTGCAGAGGTCATGAAAACAGGGAAGGATGTAGAATTGAAAGCATTTTTTCAGCACATGGGAGACCCAAATTCGATTTCTAGGTTTTAGAAAGAGCAATTGAATGACTGTCAAACTAGTCTCCAGGACTAGGGGAGAAATTGCTGAGTGGAAATGGGTATATTACGAATTCTCAGTTAAACGTGAGATGTGAGAAGCCTGTAAGACATTCATCTTCTCCAAGACACTTACTTGTCCCTCTTGCTCCTTCCCCAATAGCAGCCCTCATGCTACCTACCCTGAAGGAATTTTCTCAGTAGAGGTAGGATTTGACCCAAAGTAGTCTGAGCCTACATTTTATAAGTATTTCTTCCATCCACATATAGAAGTTCTAGCAAATATAATTTTCTCATTTTCATTACATGCTCAATGATACTTTAGTACTCCTTATAGACAGATGATCCTGGAGGCTTCCCAGCTGACTTGCTGGAAAGTTAGCTGGGAAGGGTTGAAATCTCTCTTCAACTCATTCCCAACCATACTGCCAGAGGCATTCTTTTAAAGGAAAATCTGACCATCTTCCTTCCTTGAGGTTTTTAAGAGGTCTACAGAACTTACTCAATAAAGTCCAATCACTTTAGCACAGCTATAAGATCCTTCCCATCTTGTCCCCTGCTGGCTTCTTAGTGCCATCATCTGCCATTTTCCCCTTTCCTTTGTGCTCTGGCAGTACCAAGCTGGCCACTGTCTCTCATGGATTGCATATTGTTTCAGGCCTCCCTTCACTTTGTTGAGCCCTTTGCTTGGGCCTCCCTTCCTTCTCTTGCCCGTCTGTCAAATTCCCAGTGTCTGTCATAACCCTGATAGAGTACAACCTTCCTGGAATGCCTCAGACAGGATGGTATCCTTTGTTCTTTTTCTGAAACTCATATATGTCTAGACCACATTATATTATTTCACTCGTTAGCATGTCTGTCTTGCTCTTCTTGCTTATTGTAGAGAAATAGAATTGTCATGCTTAGCACATTGATATTTGGCTAAACTGTTCAATACCTGTCAGGGTGGAAACTGGAGACAGCCACCTGTTCCCTCAGGGGAAAATGGACAGACTAGCAAAGCTTTGCACTCACTTCTGCTTCACACCCATAAATCACATGCAAGGCAACCTTCCCTGCTCCTCTTGTCTCTCCACCACTGCCAGAACTTAGTCTGCCCAGGCATCATTCAAAAATGTCATGGGGAAGAGGGACCTAGGGATAGCCCTGGCCATGTATCTTTCTATTTTCCCCCCTCTAGTGGATGTCAGAGTGCCCTCTTGCTGGTGGGTTTCATCTCTCATTTAGAGAATCCTTCTTGCCTTCCACTGCCTGTGTGAGTAATAAACATCAAAATTACTTGTGGTCTCTGGCTTGAGTGTGATATGTTTTGACATTTAATGTTTTGAAAAGGTAGCGCCTGGCAGCAGGCTTCCTGCAACACTTCTGCTTCATTATGCTTAGGGCATCAGTACAAGAGCTTAAAATTTGTTGATGGTTGACTAAGTTAGTAGAGGCCCACTAGAAGAGCTGCCTGAATGAACTGAGCAGGCAAGAGTAAAAGTTTTGTTTATAAATGAGTGCTTAATGATTTTTTTAAAAAGAATTTGAAGTATTTTACTTAAAATCTTGATTGTACTCTGATTTTAGTTAATCAGCTCTTGATTCACATCCACCAAAAAAAAGCACAAAAGAGGATTCTGGGTCAGCCGTATTGGATTAATGGTGGCTCAGCTATTGAAGGCCTATGGTACACTTGGAAGTTCTCAGGTCATGACAGTCAGTGCAAATGCTAAGAAGAATGGGAGGCTGAAATCTTCTAGGAAAAGAGACCCTTCTCCCTGACTCTTTGGACTCTTTGGACCAGAGAACTGGTTTATTTGATCAAAGAACCTCAAGTGTAGATTAAAACCACTTAACCTCTTACTGTAGGTATCAGACAAAGAGCTATTCTAATAGCATTAGGAATTCTGGCTGTGCTGAGCCAGTTTATGGAATTTTTTGGAATTAATAGATTGCTTGAGGGGGCCTTTTCAGACAATAAAGAATAGGCTTCCTAATAAGAGAGAGTTATTAATAAATGGACTGAATGTCCACACTTATATTTATTTTTCTTTTTACCAGTGTGTATTTATTATCTGTTTTTATGTTTGATTCCCTACCTAGAGAGTTTCTTGAGAGTAGTGCCCCTGTTAATTTGTCACTGTATTGTAGAACTCATTACTTAATAAGTAAATCCTAGTCACCTCATTCTTTCTAGATTCTCAGCTTCATCTCCTCAACTTCGAAAGTGTGTTGGCTGGCTTTATCTATGCTCACTTCTTGCATATCACAGCCTGGAAACTTTTTATAACACTAAGATGTTGCAATCGGATGGCTTTCACCTTGTTTAGTGATTATTGTTCTTTATTTTCTGATGTCTTGTATCTTAAACACTGTTGTTTTATTTTTAAATTATTTTAGGCACAGACCAACTATGGTCCCTAGTGCTCAATCTTAGTTGGAAGCTGAAGTTCATAAATTGATGAAGACTTGTTTTGAAATAATTTCAGAGAACTGTCTGACCTTCATATAGAACAGTGTGTCAGGGTGGGAAGAATTTATGCTGTGAATCTTTAGATATGAGAAAATGAGATGATAAAGTTTCATGACTAAAATCATTAGGTATGATATGGTGGTAGTGGAAGTTAAATAATATAGGAGGTAAGAAACCTAAGAAAGACTACTGTTAGATTTATAAACTATAAATGTTTCCTGTCATATCCTATGTATATGGCAGTGAAATAGAAGACAAATTCCTTTTTTTAAATCAAACTTCATCCTAGTGAGGCAACAGGCAATATAACCAAAAAATACACAACATACGACTTGTGTTACATTATAGCCTTATGCTGTCCCTGTTATAGCACTTGTTTCATTATTTTGTAACTGGCAATGTATTCATCTCTTTCTCCAACCAGTTTGTAAACTTCTCTAGAGTCAGGACCAGGGTATCTTATTTAGTCTTTTATTCCCATTGTCTAGCAAACTACAGAGCATATAGTAGGTATCAGTGAATGAATAGGTAAACGGACAGTATGAATTTTTTGTATCAAAATTGATGGTCAAGGAAGTTATTTTGGATAAATGAGTCTTTTGGTTACTTTTAGCTAATTGCCCTGACATCTCTCAATTGAATGGCCAGTGCATTCATTCTCAACCCCCCACTGAGGGTGGTGTGTTATAATATGTTAAGTTCCATATATGTTTTCTAAAGTTCTAATAATAATCTTCTAGTGATGACTTTATTTTTCCAGTTCTTTTGGCTTCACATTTAAACAAGTGAACAGTTATTCACTTATTTGAATCCACTAAATTCAAAGAAGACAGAAGCTAATTATGTGTCTACTTGTGTATTATTCAGTACTTACTTCACAATATGGTCAATACAGCTATGTGGCAAAAAATGCTGAGGCAAAAAAGGACAGCAACTAATTGTGTACCATGTCCATGGCAGCAAGATCCTTGTATCTGTCCCTAGGATCTCGAATAATGTTGAGAAATGAATGAATAAATAGATGAATGAACAGTACCTCATGTATCCTTCTCAAGGCTAATTCACCATCAGTAAAATTAGTCTGAAAGGCAAGCTGGAAAAGAAAAGGTAAGCCATTCTCCATAGAAATATCTATATCTGATGAGGATGTTATTATTATGGTTTATAAAGAGAATTCCCATTTCCCAAGAGGTGTCCTCTAAAACTGCCTGTTCAGCAAAGTGGGTATTTTATAACCAAATGGATGGACTTGGGCTATTATAGAGAATGGGCAAGCAGGTTATTTTTAAAAAATATCTGTGGAATAAAATGTTTTAGCTCAGGCCAAGCTATTCAAGTCATGTTCAATACCTTAAATTCCAATCAAGTCTATAAAAGAGAGTTCGATTTGAAAACCTCTGCCAGAATTAGTTGTATTTTGAAGGTCCTTGTATGCAAACGATAAAATAGGACAAGAACACACAGGAGAAGAGAAGGAGAAAAGCCACATATAAGAGAAAATGTGGTAAGGTTATGTGTAAGTTATTAGGCTTTAATCTTATTTTATAATTAAGCATTTGGTGAAACATTTGATAAGACATCAAATGTAATTATGAAAAGGTAAAATAGCAGACTATAATCCATTAAGGATGCCTAAATCAGACTTGTTAAATTAGTTATTTCCAGAATCTGCTTATCTTGCATATGAGGATTTAAAAAAGCTGGGTGGTGGGCAGATTAGTAGATTCTAATAGTTTACCATGCAGGCTGTGATGATTAGTTTGCAGCTGCTGATAACAGCACAAAAATGTGCATTAAAGCTGTGAAATATTTCATGAAACTGCTACAACGTCATTCTCTGACATCAATCTGTAAATGCAGAAATTCACACTCAATCAGGTCTGCTAGCAATTTTTTTTCCACTGTAAATCCCTCATAATCTTTCTTTAGCTAAGTTAATCATTTCTGCACAAGCTGTGTGCAGTTAAGGCAATTACCCAAAGAATCTTGGCCTTAAAAAACACTTTGATCGCTGATGTTCATACTTCTAAATGAACACTTTATTTTTTTGTCTGAATAATCTACTATTAAGTTCCTATTTCATTTCTTTTTGTGAGGACAAGTTTTTCAATACCAAAATTATTATTTTTTGCATTCATTAATTAGAGATGTTTTGTTTAACTAGGAATTCTTTTAACAACTGGATTTAGAAAGGTTCCAATTGCACTGAAATTACATTTCAACTGTTACATTCAAAAGATCTACCTTAGATTATTACGGCTGCAAAATTCATAATTAGCACATGATAACAGATTTGAAATAATCAGTAAAGTTAAAATTTGAAATGGGGTAGAAGAAGCAGGGTGGCTCCTTCCTTCCTTCCCTCCCTCCCTCCCTTTCTTTCTTTTCCTTCCTCCCTTCTTCCCTTCCTCCCTTCCTCTCTTCCTCTCTTCCTTTCTTCTGACAGAATTTTGCCCTTTTGCCCATGCTAGAGTACAGTGGTGATCATAACTCATGGCAACTTCAAACTATTAGAACAAAGCAATCCCTCTGACTCACCCTCCCCAGTAACTAGGATTAAAGGCACATGCCATCATGCCTAGCTAATTTGTTTATTTTTATTTTTGTAGAGATGGGGATCTCTCTATGTTGCCCAGGTGGATCTGGAACTCCTGGCTTCAAATGATCCCCCCACTTCAGCGTCCCAAAGTCCTGGGATTACAGTCATGAGCCAATATGCCCAGCCGATTTTCTGAAGGACATTAAAGGAATTCCTGCACTTTGAAATAGGTGAGCACTATTTCAACAATCGTTCGAGCACGGGACCCTTTCAGGTCTGGAACGAGAAGTAAAGGAATGACAAGGAATTCCTTCTTCTTTCCTCTTTCATATCAAAACTTGGATTAAATGAAAAATATTAGCTGGGCTTGTAGAAACAGATGGATTTATTGGTCTTTATCATATTAATTAATCAGTATAGTAAAACTGCAATCAATTCAATAAACTTTTCAGTCATGTCCATGACTTGTTATATTTTGTTTCACTAAACTGACTCTTGGAATCCAAGATTCTTGTCTTTAAAGGAGTTTAGAGATAATCTCATCCAAATCTCCCATTTTACATATTGGGATATTAAATTTCAAAAAGATTAGTAATCTAACCTATAGTAAAAACCTGAGGGGTCTCATTACTTTTACTTTCAATTCAGTCAAAATTGAAATGGCATTGTTATAGCATATAGCAACTAGATTTTAGGCATATTAGAGCATATTTGTTTTTATATTTATCAGTCTTATTCTTTTCTGCCACCAGAGAATGTTTATTTCCAACAGCCCATGTGTAGCCTATATGGATACCAGTTAGCAATTTTCCACATCACATTTAATTATTAGGAATGAGAACCCTAGGTTTTGCCTCCTGGTTGGGCTATACCCAACACGTTGAAACAGAATGCCCAGGCTGAGTTCCCAGGCAAAGTTTACTTCTCACCACGGAAACCAATTTTCATGAACCCAGCTTTTAGGATCCAATTAAGCCCATCAGAATTAGACTGTATTTAAAGTCAATCTAGTTAATAGGTATGGCAGGATTTACCAAATCTACGTGATTATAAGACTCACCAGTGGCACTTGTTAGAGATACGGTTCTCTCCTGAAGATTGTGACTCTTTAGGTGTGTTTTAATATATTACGCAAGGTTGAGAAACACTAGAGTAGGAAATGTGAGCTAACTGAAACAAGGCAGACACAGTAGAGTGTATTGATAGCTGTTTCAAAGAAGGAAAAGTTTAAAAGGCAAGCTCTAAACAGAAGCAGATCAGACATAAAGGCAGAGGATCTTGGACTTACTGGACAGAGAAGACTTCAAAGTTGAGGTTGTTGAGTGACGTTAGTGGCTCTGAGGACAGGCTCACTGCTGTAGACTTTCTTATTTGGTGCTTCCTCTAGAATTGTCTAATCAGTTGAGTTTAATATGTCAAACGCAAAGTCCCTGTGGATCTTAATATGCCCAGTGCCCAGCACCATTGTCACTTGATACATAATGCTGAAATTAAAACGGATTCCATAAAGATGGTGAGGAAATCTTATGCAGAGGAATTCTTCCCATTACAAATGATTGAAAAGGGTTTTGTTGTTGTTGTTGTTGTCGTTACTTTGTTTTTGTTTTCTGGCTTAGATGGTAAATGTACAAATATCTCTTTAACAATGATAGGACAACTTCACTTCCTCAAGTGGTTTAGCCTCTGAATCTTGTGGAAAAGAAATGCCTTTTGGTGTGACAGGAGCTCTGTAAAGGTGTTCATGTTCTCAGATGATCCAGAGATTGCTATTAAATTATCATCATCATCACAGAATTTATCCTCTGAGGCCTTTTGTTTCCTGGTGCAAAGGTAAATTGTTTCACCTTCCTGTTCCTCAGTTTCTTCATTGTAATATACCAAGAATAATTGTACCTACCTCAAAGAATTCTTGTAAAAAATAAATTATTAATGTAAAGTGCTAAAAATAGTGTCTGGCAACAAGTTCTCAGTAAATTGTTAGCTATTATTATTATTATTATTGTCAGTTAAGAATGAGAGTAGCTAAGATACTATAGGGAAGAAAGAAAAAAATCATTGGACAATGGGGAAGATTGACAGAAATGGTGGCCCAAATTTATATTTTCCCTATTTCCATGCTCTCTGCAATGTGTCTGGGCAACTCCTCTTATCAAGAGATGAGTCTATTTTTCCAATTCTTAAATCTGGGCTGGCCATGTGACTTCCTTAGGCCAGTAAAATGCAGTGGAAGGGACAGTGCACCAGTTCCAAGCCTAATCTTCTGCAGGCCTTGAACAATTCCACTCTGTCTTTTGAGATTTTGCCTCTGTCTTGAGAAAAAGCCCAGGGTAACCTGCTAGAGAATAAGAGACCACATGAAGCAGAAATGAGACATTTCAGCTGAGGCCATTCTATAGCAGCCAAGACCAGAAAACGTGCCCTTCAGATTCCAGGTGAAATTGATCACCTACAGAATTGTGAGCTAAATAAGTGTTCATTACTTTTAAGTCTCTAAATTTTGGGGTGGCTGTTTAATGCAAAAATAGTTACCTGATACAAACTATAATTAAAAATAAGGAACAGGCATTAAGAAATAAATATTTGCTTTGCTCTGAGCCACCTATTATTAGCAGTTAACTAATCCTATAGAACATATTATCACATAATTTAAAATTTGAGGTAGACCTTAAAGATCTCTTGGTGGAAAATACTCAGTTTACAGGTGAAGAAACTAAGACCCAAAGAGGTTAAGCGATTTGTAAAAGATCATATAGATCATTGTAAACCTTGATTTACAAGGTGGTAGCAGAGTAATAAGAAAGGCAAACCATAGCAAATGAATATCAATTTTGGAAACATAGTAAAGAAAAATGCTCAGAAACTCTTCTCATAAGACAGAAGAGAATAACACGTGGAGAGCTTAAGAGAGCAGCTCTGCCTGAGTGGGGATTTTCCCATCATTAACAGTATTCATGCGCTTCTCAACTCTCTTCACCAAAAGATGCTCCATGTTTAAGACCTAGCCAGAGGCCACCGGCTGGAGGGACCACATTTCTTTGAAGTTTCTTAAAAATTCATATAGCCTACCACATAAAATACTATGTTTACATGAGTACATCCTTTTTCTTCTCCAAAATGTTATGACAAATTGATTCTGCAGAAAGATGGGTCCTATCTGTCCTGTGTGTTCAATTATTCCCTGGCATATGACCTTGAATACTAATGGAAAAGCACATTAGGTCAAGATGGTGGGGCAAAACAGTCACATGCTATGCACTGAGGACTCAGTAGTTAGGCCTCAGGTCTTCTCTGTGGGTTCCTCATTGTGAGTCCTCCCTCCCTCACTCACTTTACAAATGTTTACTGAGTGTCTTCTATGTACTGGACAGTGTTCAGGCACTAGAGATACAGCAGCAAGTGAAACAAAAATTCCTGCTCTCAAAGAATGTATTAGTTTCCAATTGCTGCTGTAACAAATTACCACACATTTAAGTGGCTCAAAACAACACAAATTTATTATCTTATAGTTCTGGAGTTCAGAAGTCTAAAATAGTTTCAGGCTTCCCTTTCTTCACCCCATCTAGCCCTTTGCTTGGACCTCCTTTCCTTCCCTTGTCCATCTGGCAAATTCCCAGCATCTGTCACAACAAACTCTTTCTGAAGCCCCTGGGGGATAAGATGTTCCCTTGCTGGTTCCAGTTTCTAGAGGCTGCTTATAGTCCTTGGCTTGTGGCACCCTCCTCCCTCTGTTAAATCAGCAGCACAGCATCTTCTCTCCTCTCTGATTTCTGCTTCCATCTCTACACCTTCTCTCTTTGACTGATCCTCCTGCTTTCCTCTTATAAGGACTCTTGTGATTATATTGAGTACATCCAGATAATCCAGGATAATTTCCTCACCTCAGAATTCTCACTTTAATCACTTATGCAAAGTTTTATTTTATCACGTAAGGTAACATAATCGCAGGTTTTGGACATTAGGATGTGGACTGATTTGGGGCCCCATTATTCTACCTACCAAAGGAGGTTATATTTTAGTAAAGCTTATTTTTCTTTTCTTTCTTTCTTTTTTTTTTTTTTTTTGAGTTGGAGTCTCTCTCTGTCACCCAGGCTGAAGTACAGTGGCGTGTTCATGGCTCACTGCAACCTCGCCCTCCCAGATTCAAGTGTTTCTCCTGCCTCAGCCTCCCCAGTAGCTGAGACTACAGGCACACGCCACTGCACTGGGCTAATTTTTGTATTTTTAGTAGAGAAGAGGTTTTGTCATGTTGGCCAGTCTTGTCTTGAACACCGGACCTCAGGTGATCCACCTGCCTTGGCCTCCCGAAGTGCTGGGAATACAGGTGTAAGCCACTGCACCTGGCCATAAAGCTCATCTGTACAGGATAAAGTTGAAGTTCTTGAATATGACTCAAATGAATTTCTGTGATGTTCTTTCTTGCTAGCCCTATCTCTAGTAATTCCCTGCTACAAATACATAGTTCAGCAATCCTGACCTTCTTCTATTACCCTCCCCACCTCAGAGCACCTCTGCTATTCTCACCCTTTTGATTTCCAGCTGTCTGCCAGGACATACACCCCCATTCCCCTTCCCTACATCTCTACACCCTTTGTCTGGCAAAATATTCAGCAAGGGCATCACCTTGTATAAGAAATGGGGCCTCTCCCATTTACTCTCAAAAGATCTGTGCCTGCCTCTACCACCAACTTCATCACACTATATAGATCTGTTTAGGTGTTGCCTGTCTTGCTCCATTAGTTAAAAAGCTATTTGAGAGCAGGGAAGGTGTCGTTCATTTTTCTAGCCCCATCACTTAACATAGTACCTGGCACAAAGTAAGGGTTTAAGAAATGTTAAGTGAACATGTGAGTATCACTGAAATTGTTTATCAGTTAATTAGGAGAGGAAGAAGCAGGGGAAGAGAAGGGGAAAGAGTTTTTATCTTGAGTTGTTAAGAAAGTTTAGTAAAGAGTGGATCTCTGCTGGGTGTGGAGAAGGAACAGCAGACAAGGGGAAGACGAGATGAGATATACATGACTTTCAGGCAGTGAGGATAATGAGCCTGAGGCGCTGAAGCCTCAGGGCCGCATTTCTCAGCAGGGTTGCTTTTGATGTGTGCCTGCTTTGATCCCTGCTGTGTAGCTATGGCCCAGGATGCTCTGGAATGAAGAAAATCTACTTATTGTGTCCTGTTCTCGGGATCCGTGGCGTGTGAGAGAAGAAACACTAGGGGAAAGGAGTGGTTTCCTGGTGGCAAAATAAAATCATTTCCCAAAGGTAAATAGTCTTTCCAACATGGTGGAGCACTGAAGCAGAAGAGAATATGCAGAGAGAGGACATGATAATGTAAGGTAGAGAGACACAGAACGCAACTTAAAAGCTGAGATAAGATCAAATAGACAAATGCAGAAGGGCTGCATCCCACGGGAGAGGGGAGCAAACTGTTCTGTTCATGGGAGCAACAGGACACTGGGCCATAGGTGGAGAGAATTTTTCTGCCTCTTGGACAAAATATGAGAACACAGGAAGTGACACTTCAAATGCCCCTACACCAAGGAACAGGGCAACACAGGTGGGCAGATCATGACTGGCAGAGAAACACAGAAGTAAGGAGAAACACAGAAACACACTGCTACCCCTCCCTGTATGGGAGGTCAAGGGGAACTTCCCATTGTGTAGTTTAGTTTTAGAAGCATAAATTCTGTCACTAATTCTGTTCAAGTTAAATCAACCTTATTAAATGTAACTGGGGTATGAATTCAGTTATTCTCAAAAACTCCTTTTAGAAATAGTTTTCATTTTAGAAATGTTAAATGTGTACACTAGTCAGGTCCTGTTGACCATCGCAGACTAACCTAGTGTAAGTGTATTGCTATGTTAATCTGCCCAGGTTGTCAGAAAGAAAGAGGAGAATGTCATGAACTCTCAAAGAAAGGGAACATGTGGAACATGCTTTGGAGAATTATTGTTTGAAAGAAAATCAAACACTCCAATGCCACACATATTAAGCAGTTTAAAGAACAAACAACTGGGGTGGTCCCTGAGCAAATACTTGATGGGACTTTATTTGAAAAAGAAGCATTTTTTAGAATATGCTATATTTTATGGTTAATTGTCTTAACCCTATATCCCAGTATTCAAAGGGGTATGTAAGTGGAAGTGAAAATCACTATAGTTCTCCTACAAAAGTCTAAATTACATGTTTTAACCCATGGCAAGAACCAAGGCAAGACCCTTGTCTATTTTAATCAACGTTAGTATAGTTCCTGCCCATCATGAACACTCAAAAACAGTTGATAAGCTGGGTGTGATGGCTCATGTTTGTAATCCCATCGCTTTGAGAGGCTGAAACAGCAGGATCACTTGAGGCCAGGAGTGGACAATATAGCAAGACTCCATCTCTATGAAAAATAAAACAACAATTAATCAGGCGTGGTGGTGTGTACCTGTGGTCCCAGTGACTACAGAGGCTGAGGCAGGAGGGTCACTTAAGCCTAGGAGTTGGAGGCTGTAATGAGCTATAATTGTACCACTGCACTGCAGCCTAGGCAACAGTGTGAGACCCTGTCTCTCTTAAAAAAAAATGATAGAATGAACATAAGGGATGAGAAGCTGAGGCATTGAGTTTGTAAAATTTGTGCTTATGAATGGGGATAATAACTAGGATAAAAGTCATGATTTCCCAAAGATGTGTGAGCCATTGAGGCTAGATTTTCTGTAGTTTAATCATAGGAGAAAGTTAATAATATTCATACCTGCATTTTTATTGCATGTCCATTGTATGCTAAATATTGAGCTGGATAACTTAGCTATATTGTTTCTAATCCTCAGAATAAAGTCCCATAGTGTTATCCTGGTTTTACAAATGGGGAAATAGGTTATGAAAAGTTAAACAACTTTTCCAAAGTTACATAGGTAGTAAGTGGCAGAATGGTGACTCAAACCTAGATCTGACTGCTACATAATTACTTTTTACTCATACTACAGTATCACAAACAGTGTCTCTGTTTTTAAAAGCTTTATTCCTTGTCATAAAATTAGTACATATTCATGATTATAAATTTGGAAAATATAGAAATATTTAGGAAAAACAAATCAACCATGATACCTCCACTGTTTTGTAAACATATGGTACTACAATTGATTCTCATTATTTGTAGAAGTTATGTTCTATAAAGTCACTGCAAATACTGAATTAGTGAATACTGAACTTTTGCTCCTAGCCGATACACAAGATTAGGCTACTGTAAGCCCAACATTTTTATCAATGAATCAATACATTACCTTATTTTATATTTATTTCTATTATAAAGACACATTATTTTATGTATATTGCTGATTCATTAACATCGAATGCACAGCCAACAGCACTATAACTCAGACCTGAATGAAGTTTATCTAACATATACGTTTTCTCTGTTAGTAAGGCACATTGGCCTTGTCCTCAGGGACTCTAGACAGTATCTCAGAACCAGACTTTGTGGCCATTTCAGACAGTGATATGGGCAACAAAAAGCAGAAAAATGTGGCACTAAACACACCTCAAAAAGGACACTTGTTTACAGTAGAAGAGCTGAAACAAGATGGTAGAATATCACCTTGTTTGACTTTGATAAGAAATGTGTATGTTGGGTGACTCAAATATTACACCACTCTGGGTATGTCTTTGAATAGCCATGAAAGTGCTGCAAGTACTGATTTGGGGGTTACAAATCCATTTTAGCAAGTAGGTGAATTTGCAAATATAGAATTATGAATAATGAGGATTGACTGTTTCCTTCTGAGGAGTCAAAAATCTGATTGATTTTATCAAAATCAAGAAACTATGGAAGAGGACTTTTCAGAAACATTGTCAAAGCTTTCTTATGTACAGACTTTGGCGCCACAGGCCTGACACAAACCCAGTCTTCCATTTATTTCATTTAACATCTTTTGAGTAACTTCTAAGTATATGTTAATGTAGGAGCCAAGGGAAAATATCTACCTTGTGAAGGTTCACTGAAAAATCACATGACAAAAGCCAGCTTGGAGAAAGCATATAAATCTATTAGCATGCACACGGGGAGAGTCACAGAGTGATGAAATTCAGAAGCTCATATACTGTCTGGAGGATACAGAAAAAATAGGGGCTCAGAGCATGGCCCAAAACAGATGATGGTGGTTAAATCAGGTTATATTGGCAAGACATGTTATGGGAGAGAGAAGAGAAGAGGAGGCCTGGCTAGCAAAGATGGTCTTGTTAGATAAATGAAACCTCACAGGTAGTAACCCTCAAAGAGAATAGATGGTAAATGTTTCTTTCAGACCTTTAAAGGGTTCTGACTCTCAGTTAATCTTTCCTAGATCTGGACAAGAGAAGGCCTGCCTGCATCAATGCAGATTCTCTACAGATGTAAATCTCCTCCACAAAAGACAGCTTGGTAGAGCTACTTCTGTTTACAGGATTTCTAAACAGCTATCTCAAAATATGTCAAGGAAATATATTTTGGAGTGAAATAGTTTGATTTACTTCACTAGGTACTGTGATAGGTATTGGAGTTAATAAAAATGAACAAGAAAGTTCTTACTCTCCAGAAACTCATGGTTTGATGGAAGAAGCCAGGCATATAAACAAAATATTTTAACAAAATGTGGTAAGTTCAGTAATGGACACAGATACAGGGTCTTTTGGGAGCACACACAGGAGGAGATCCACTTAGTAGGGTAGGTGGTGCCTCAGCTGAGTACTAAGAAATTAGTCTGATTTAGTCAGGTGAAGGGTGGCAGAGATTGGTGACTATTACTGTGGATACTATGCAATAACATAGTAGATGTTAAAGTCTAATAAATTTGATTCAGAAGTCTTTGGAAACTACAGGTAAGATAATTAATTACCAATTCTTCTAACCTATATCTTCCAGATATCACAGATTTTATTGTATCTCTTCTAGCCTAACCTGCAATGTCTGCATCATCATAGTATGAGGAATACATGTAACATGCCTTAAGTATTTTGTTAGATAGGTAAAGAATCTTGTCTCCTTGTAGCATGTACCAAGGTAACCGTACTTATGTTAGTTTTCCACGTAGATGGTAGGCTCACTTCAAGGCAGAGTGCTTTGTTTAAAAGTCTGCAAATAGAAACCATTGTCTACTACATGACAAAGAGCTAGCAGTTGAATATATCTAGCTCAGCCTCTGCTTCCTCAGAGAATTATAGGTAGTTTATTCTAATCAATTTTGAGGAAAATTGTATACAGGTTCCCTTAAGAGTATATTTTATGATTCCAAAGGAAGTTTATACAAAATCTGAATTGCTCTTTTAAACTTTCTTTTTTTTATATCTTGTTATACTTAGAAGCAAAGATTAGATGGGGAGAGATAATTATCTTTTCTGTTTGTTTTTTTTTTGTTTTTGTTTTTTAAGACAGTGTCTCACTCTGTTGCCCAGGCTGGAGTGCAGTGGTGCAATCATGGCTCACTGCAACCTCAAGCTCCCTGGGCTCAGTGATCCTCCCATTTCAGCCTCCCAAGTAGGTGGGATTTCAGGCCTACACCACTGGGCTACTTTTTGTATGTTTTGTAGAGATGGGGTTTCACCATGTTGCACAGGCTGGTCTTGAACTCCTGGGTTCAAGCAATCTGCTTGTCTCGGTCTCCCAAAGTGCTGGGACTACAGGCATTAGCCACCATGCTTGGCCTTATCGTCCATTTTTAATGTAAGGGCAGTCTCATATATTTTTCTTTTCTAGGTGGTTTTTGTGTGTTTTTATTTTCAAAAAGTAATATTGTACATGATTGCAATTAAAATAATACCAAGGATATACACATTAAGAAATAAGACCCTTTTATAGCTCCAAAATTCAGCAACCACTATTTATCAATTTCTTATAACTATCTAACAGTAATATTCTATGCAGGTATTAACATATACATCTATAGCTAAATTTTAAAGGATGTCAGAATGAAAAGAGATGGATAAGTTTTCTAGGAAGACAGTTCCTTCATACTCTATTTTCTCTAAAAGGGCAATGATATGTTCACAACTTTTAAATTTTCTGGGCACAAAAGCAATAAATGGTCTAGAGATATTTCTGTTTTAATTTCAAGGAAAAGGGCACTATTATCAATTGAAGGCATACTGTATGCACATTCTGTACTAGGCACTTTATACATGTCATTTGAGAACTCTCAAACATTTAATGAAGAAAATATTATCCCCATATTTTAAATAAAAAGCCTGCATCTCAGAAAGTTTAAGTAACATTTTAAAGGTTTCACACAGCTGGTAAGTAATGAGTCCCAAGAACGCAGTTCTGTGTGATCCCCAAAATCCGTGCTCATTCCATATATATTCCAGATGCTGTGCATTATGTTTGATATTTTGATTATTAATATAGACAGTCGATATTAGCTTAGTGGTTAAAAGATTTCTATCAGAGATCTGTACCTGTAAATTCACCTTTTTAAAATTTGTGAATAACATCACTTTGTATTTGACATTATAAAGCTATATTTAGTAGAGCCAAATCCATTTTAAGAAGAAATTTCCATAAACTAAAAAGAGCTGCATCAGAGGAGGCCTGCAGATGGCACTGCTGCCTGAGAGTCACTTAAAAAAATGCATAAAGAATTACTTTAGAAATTATCCAATGCTGATTCCAAAAGTTAAATTTCAACCAATATTTGAGTAATTTATAATTTGTGTAATTCCTTCCAGTTTATGGTTGATGTTGAAATTTAATTTTCACTTTAATGAATGAGTAGAGTAATGCTTAGTAGCATTTCTATCCAGTAAAAGGTAGACTATAAGCCTGTGTGGATGGGACACATGAAGATCCATTAAGTTGGAGAAAAGAAAGAGATTCCGATTCTTTGCTTGGGCATAAGGTGCTGCCTGACAGATCAGATTACTGAGCAATCAGAAGACAGATGGAGACTGCTAAGATCTAAAGATGAATGCAGGAATTTCCGAGTTATAAATCAGAAACCTAATGAAAACACATGAATACAAAAGTCTGAGACATTGTATGTAATAAACAAAAATGGCAGGTCTTTTATCACTGTATTTTTAGTGTTACCATGAAATTTTTTTTTTTTTTTTTTTGAGATGGAGTTTTGCTCTTGTTGCCCAGGCTGGAGTGCAATCGTGTGATGTTGGCTCACCGCAACCTCTGCCTCCCGGGTTCAAGCAATTCTCCTGCCTCAGCCTCCCAAGTAGCTGGGATTATAGGCATGTGCCACCACACCCGGCTAATTTTGATTTTTTAGTTGAGACAGGGTTTCTCCATGTTGGTCAGGCTGGTCTCGAACTCCCTATCTCAGGTGATCCGCCCGCCTCGGCCTCCCAAAGTGCTGGGATTACAGCATGAGCCACCACGCCTGGCCTCATGAATTTTTAAGGAAAGTTATTGCAAATCTTTAACCCTAGCTAATCATATAAGCTTTAGAAGACAAAAAGGTACTTTTTCTTGAGTAGTTAAGAGATATAAAGTTCTGGAGATAGACTACTCCAAGATTTTCATAGGATCATATCTGGATGATAAGATTATAAGTGATTTAAACTTTCATTTCCAAATCATCTATATATATTTTTAAATATGAAATAATCAATAAATATTAAATTTTAAGATAACCAAAACCACTGTTCTCATTCCTTCTGTCTCTTACATATTAACACAAAACCTTTTTTTTTTTTTTTTTTTTTTTTAGTTTTAATGCTAGGGGTCCCTAGTAGTGAATGTGGGGTGTTCTGCACAGATTCTTTCAGAGTTGAGTCATTTATTCCTCCAGCTGTCAGGAATATTGGCTACATTCCTCTTTAGGAACTGTGCTTGGCTAAAGGGAACTACGTTACCAAGCTTACATCTCTTCCCCAGGATCAGCCCATATCCATTGACTGGTTTATATGAAGGTAAAAGACCCAGCCCCATTTCTTAATTTGGGACAATTCTGAAAAGTCATCACAGCTCCAGGACCCCCCATGGGATCAACTGAGGCCTTTATTGCAATTGCATTGTGGTTAAATTTTTTCTTTTGCCCCATCCCACCTCCATCACTTTCTTACAAATGTCATTCTCAAGTAAACCTCATAAACACAAATATTTGTCTCAGTATTGTGGGGAACATGATCTAAGACAAAACTAGGAGTAGTCCTAAGAAGCTGACATCAGCTCCCAGCCAACTTAGCAAACCTACAATCACATATCACTCAATTGTTTTCTGGATTGCGTAGTTTTTGACAAGCAATCTACCTTCATTCTTACTTTTTGTTACTCTGTATATGTTTTGTCTCTGGCTACTGTTAAGATTTTTCTTTTTATTACTGGTTTCCAGCAACTTGATTATATGTGCCTTGGTGTGGTTTTATGTTTTGTTTTGTTTTGTTTTTTTTTTATTTTTTGCTTGAGGTTACTTTAGCTTCTGTGAGTTTATGTTTTTCATCACATCTAGAAAAAAATTAGTCATTATCTTTGGCCAATAATTTTGTGTTCTTCCCCTTCCTTCTCAGCCTCCAATTGCACATGTTAATGTTTCATGTTTTTACACAGCTCACTGAGGCGCCTTTCATTTTTTTTTGTTTTGTTTTCTCTTTATATATTGTTTTAGTTTCTACTGATATTTTTGAATTCACCAACCTCTCTTCTGCTGTATCTAATTTTCTGTTAATCCCATTCCATGTATTTTTTTCAATTTGGATACTGCATTTTTCTTTTTTTGAATTTTATTTGAATCCTTTTTATGTCTTCCATTTCTATTACTTTATTTCTGATTTCTTTTTTATCCTAGAATATTATATTTATAATAACTCCTTGGAAGTTTGCCTGTTAATTCCATTACCTCTACCATTTCTGGGTATGTTTTGATTGATTCATTTTTTCTCCTGACTCTGTGTCATATTTTTTGTTTCTTTGCATGTCTAGTAATTTTTGATTGGATGATCAACATTGTGATTTTTACATTGCTGAATGCTGGATTTTGCTGTTTCTTGAGTGGGAAACTTTGTTCTGGCACACAGTGCTACTTGAAGACCAATTTGAACATTTTAAGGCTTGCTTTTAAATGTTAGAGTAAATCCATAGCAGCTTTTATTCTAAAACTAATTTGGCCCTGCTACTAAAGCACAACCATGTTGAGGATGTCACCCAATGTCCCCTGTATTACAAGCTTTCTCCATTTTGGCTGATGGGAATGTTAACTATTCTTAGCCCTGTGAGACCCAGGAACTGTTCACTGCTTTCCAATCATTCCTTCCTTGGCTTTGTTACATACTACTCAAGTCATTTCCTTTACCCCATGCTAATTAATACTCAACAAAAACCTCTAGGGAGGACTACTCTGCAGATCTCTGGAGCTCTTTTTCTTTGCAGCTGCCTGAGTGATTCTGAACTCAGTCATCTTTGGTTTCTTAATTGCAGTGAGACCACTGGGCTTTATTTTGGTTCCTCTGCTGGCAACTGCCTTCAGGCAATAAGTTGGGGAAATCACAAGGCTCATCACCTGTTTTCCCTCTCTTGGGGATCATAGCCCTGCATTACCTGTAGTCCAATGTTTGAAAAGGGTTGTTTCATATATTTTAGCTCATTTCCTAGTTGCTTATGATAGAAGGGACAATTTGGAAGTCCATTAATATACATGAAGCTATGCTTTGGTAGAAAAATTGTGAGTTTTTATAATGAGCAGAAGTCGAACAATACTTTTACTTGTCTAATAAATTCTGTTTCCTCACTACACATTCTGAGAGGTTTTCAGAAGACATAAAAACAACTAACATATATGTTTCTCCCAGTTCTGAGAAAACAAAAAATTCTTAATAGAAGTTAATTCTGAGTAAATACATAAGTCTGAGTTGCTGTACTTACTGTATTTAGAACTGTTAAATTAATTTTGGTGAAACGATTTTCTTTCAATTTAATTCAATATTAAAACTAGCTATCCTTCATTTCTTTCCCAGAAATTCTTCAACAATACCACCCTCCCCCCCACACACACACGCATGCATGCACACACATTCTCTCTCTCTCTCTCTCCACTTTCAAAATAAAAGGGTGGTATATCTCTTGGTCGTACAGATTACCAGGATATAAAATTCCATAACCATCTTTCATTTCACCAAAAACGAGGTAAAGAAAATATTACCACTGATAGGGTAGAAAATATATTGTGAGACACAAGAAAAGAAACTTGATAGCAAAAGAGTTTTAATCAGTAGAGATCTTAAACTCAATACAAGGCAAGAGGAAAGGACATAAAAATCAAGCGTGGGCTTGCTAAATTCAAGATTTAAATATATTGCCTTTCTTTCACTACAATCACAACTCAGTTAGGTAGATACTTTAATTCACATTTTACAGATGAGAAGATTCAGAGTTTAAGCTTCCCAAGGACAGAAAGGTAAGTCAGTGGGAAATTCCATGTACATTCCATTACTAAATGCCACATAACTGTTTGGATAACATAAGAAGAGTGGGTCATTATATGATACCAATTAGAAGATATTAGGGATGGTGGAGGCAGTAATTTCTGGGATAAGAACTATAATTTACAGAATAACCAGACATCATCTGATCTGGTGAAACCTGTGCATTCCCACAATTAGGCTTTTTCACACTTTCTCTCTTTAAATGTGCAACACCTTCCCCATCCCCTCTTTACTTGTAGCAGTTGATTTTGCTTCTTATATCCCGAGAAAGCAACTACCACCAAATCTACCAGTCAACTCATCTATATTTGAACTTAAAGATCTTTATGTTAGAATGGAATCTATCCATGTTCCAGCTTAGGCGAAGCCCTTCTGAAGATATCCATTCCTTCCTTCCTCATCAAATTTTCCTTCTTGACTAGATTAAAAAATTTCAACCAGTAGGCATAATCAGAACCTTTGTCTCATAATGAAAAGATAGTTAATAAGGCTCATCAATTGTCCGTAATTTTGTTTTGGTTCATGTCTGTCCAAAGCAACAGAAAGGACCACATTTTTGCTAAGATCTCTTCTAGTGCTATAATCCTAGGTGATTCTAGTAAAATATTTATAGAGTGCTTATTCTATGTGAGACACTGTGCTAACACTTTACATGCATTATCCTGCTTAATCCTCGCAATCCTAAAAAGAGGTACTATTATAATATTCATTTTATAGATAACAAAACTGGGGCTTAGAGAAGTTAAGTAACTTGTCTGAGTTTACTAGCTAGTTAATAGCACAGTAGGATTCAAACCTGACTGGCAGAGTTTGTTATTAAAGCATTGTACCATGTATTTTGTAATCTCAATTGCATGTACATTAGTGCAAATGAAAGTTGCCTGCCTTTATTATTTATATATTTGTCTATAATACAAAAGCAAAATTATATTGTTACAAAACCCCAAATAATTTTAATCTCAATTTGCAACATAATCCACATTTTACATATCTATAAACAATAAACGTTTTAGTATTCAAATGCCTTAGAAAGAATTCATTTTGGTTCAATAATTTTATAGCCAGGATAAAGTCATATTTATAATTTATAATTTTCTGTCCAGGTTTTTAATAAAAATCAGTAATGTTAAATGGAATACTATCATTTTATAGAGAAACAGTATGAAATTACATTGAGAAATGAGAACAGTCATTAAACATTAAGATTTTATTACAAACCATGCATTATATATTTCTTTACACTTAAGGAATAGATATGAAACAATCTTGGAGTAAAAATTAGAAGGCAACTTGCTTCAAGTTTGTACCAAGTCAATCAAGCAGAAACCTGAAGAACCTTGTTTTAAGATGAGAGTCATTTATACTTGGCAGGCATTTTCTTCCAATGAAAAAATAAAGTCAATGTGCCATTATCTTGACACTTATAAAAATGTTTATAAAAAGCATTTAGGCCATTGATTCTCACAGTTGGCTGAATATTGGAATCACCTAGATTAAAAAAAATACTAATCCCTATACAACATCCCCAAAATTCAGATTTAATTAGTGTAAGTTAGGCCCTGGGCATATAGGCTGTTTTAAAATTCCTCGGGTGAGTCTAATGTGTACCAGTTTGAAAACCACTAGCTTAGAGACCTGTTCCATCATCATAGAAGTCACTCTTTAGCTGAATGATTCTATATGCCCTGATTTCAGTGGGTAGTGTTGTTATTTTAAACATCTGATAGGTGTATCTCCCTTGATTAAAAAATAAATACCTTATGGAAGAGATTATATGTTTTATTTATCATTGTCTCTGCATATCTGGAACAACGAAAGGCACATAGCAGTTGCTAAATAAATATCTTTTGAATGAATATATGATTGCCTTATACTTCTTTTATATCCCCATCTTCTAATAGATTATGAAAACTAGAATTCAAAATATATATACTGAACAAATGAATGACTGAAGCAATTGGGGATAATATTTAAGGCAAAACCAAATCTGATAAAATATACACATATTTTAAAAACACATACATATATATAAATAGATCAAAAGTGGAAAAAGAATATATAAAAGAGTGCAACATTTGGCAGCTGAGAATTATTTCATTGAGTTTTCAAATATTCTTCACATTCTTATACTTAGAAACAAAGAAGTAACCCCAAACAACTAATTCATTAGCTAATATCTCAGAACTTGCACATTTGCAGATAAATTTTCTTTTAAGAACAGAATTATAGTTTAATCCCTAACACAGCTCAGTTTTCAAAATTCAAGTAAATAAAATTTTAGCACACATCATGATAGCCTTACTGGATAGCTGTGTTAAAAACAAAAAGTATTTGGTATCATCTATTGTTATGTGCTCTCAATTGAGATCTAGTTAGTTTCCTAAGAGTCTCACATTGATAACTATTTTGGCACTTCCTTACATAATGTGTTTATTTAGAAATACCTTATTAATGACAGACTTCCTTTTGAGTAGCTACATTCTCAGATATGGCTTCATTTATCAAAGTTCCACAAGTATTACATAATTTTTAATTCAGTTAGTTATCTTAGACTACGGAACTTTGGTTTTCTTAAAATCAGCATTGGTTGCTTGATTGTAGGTTTGTCACCAAAAAGTGCTGCTTCACTCTCCGTGGTTGGAAATCTTTTCTGATATATCAAAGGATATTCCTTCTGAAACTTAAAAATGAGGTGAGAAATTAGAAGGTATTTAACATTATTTCCCAAGCTGAAGCAGTGCTCAACATTTTATAAGAATTCAGTGTTTTTCTCAAAGACGTAGTATAGAGATTAGTATCCTTTCATTTTATCCTTGCCTTTCCCTCTCTCTTCTCATGTGAATACTATAAGATCTCTTAGATCTCATTAACATTAACATTTTAGGATTCTTTCTCTTCCGATGTTAATTCTCCCCCTAAATTCCAGATCTTCTTTCCCACTGATAAAACCTATGAAGGGCATAGGCATCTAGTATTCATATTTCTTTCAGTGTCTCAGACTTAGAATTAGACATGCCAAAATCATGTGGCTACTGGGCTTTCAGAGCTAAAAATTCTAAAACAGTGATAAGTCACTCAAAGATACATATCCATACCTTATAAATTGCTTTCCCAGGCTAATCCAAGCTATAATTATACAAAATACCAGTGAAAAAGGAGAGTATATATTATTACTGTTGGTATTATTTTAAAATTCAGGATAAAGAGCAAAATCAGGTAGGTACTCACATGTTTTAGGTTAACGCACATATACAAGACATCATAATATATAGTCTATATAACTCAAACTTAAAATCTAAAATATTAAAATAAGAAAGTAGATTCTAAATGTTATTAACAACCAGGAACAGCACATTAGAAAATGTTTACATGATTGAGAACTTGCTCATTCTCTTACCTGTTTTAGTTTTTTTCTTTTCTCCTTTAGAGGTAAACTCCTGTTTTTAATAATATTTTCTAAAAGTTCTGCAATTGCAGCTTGAGAGGTAGAAACTTTTTGCTCATCAAACTCCTGAGCACTAATCTGCTTACAGTATGAGTAAGTTGGCAAAGGAGCAAATAGTCCATCTCCAGGATTTTCAATCTGTAGTGATCAAAATGATATAACTCTGTTAATTCTGGTCATGTTCTTATATGATAAAGTATTCTTTTGATGGGATCTAGCACCTATTAATTTACCACCAATCAAACATTCAGCCATTAAAAAAACTATGTATTATGCAGTAGAGGTATGTAAGTCAGTAGGTTCTAAACCCCAGCTCCATAATCTACTTGGTTTGTAGCATTCAACAATGTATTTAACTTTTCTTGGTCTGTTTCTTCATCATTAAAATGGAAATTACATAAGAAAATGTATAGAAAGGGCTCAGCCCACAATAAGCATTAAATAAAGACAGGTATTATAATTATTACCATTAACTATGGATTTTATTCTTTTAACTATAAAATAACAATCTAAGTGTTATTCTAATTCATCTTAAGACTTTAATGTTCTGACAGTGCAGGTAGTAGATGATCAGCATATTTACTGAAATGAAATATTTTTAGTTTTCATGTATTTTTTTTTTTTTTGAGGCCTAGGGACATAGGCAGAGCTTCTAACATCTTCTGATAAGAGAAAGAAATTCTAGGAGATAGTTATAATTATAAGCCAGGGCAATATTAGAATGGTATGTATGGGAAAAACATAAACATGTGTTGGGCAGCCAAAGACAGAATACAGTAGATGTCTGTTATTTTGGCTGCTCAGTATTCCTTCTCTCCTTCTTTTAATAGTTCCTTCCCATTTTACCCCTCTACCTTCACCTTTTGTGAAGAATAAATTCTCCTTTGTGTAGAACCAATCAGAGTAAGGCCCTATCTCCATCCTACTCACTCTTAACAACCTAAACGATGCATATTTAACCTCAACTATGCTAAGAGTCTACATCCAGAGCTTTTAAATTGGAGACGGAGGAATGGCTCTTTTTCCTTTGAATTGCAAATGTAAGGCTCTAACTCATGAACTTCAACTAGCCACATTCCTCATCATGTGAAGGAGCCATTGTCAAACACAGGATCAACACAGAAATAAGAGATGGAGGGATGGAAAGAGTCATATAGCTATTTGAGTCCCAGATTCTGTCTACATTCCTGACTTTTAGAGGTTGTTTATGGGAGCTGATAAAGTCTCCCTTTTTGATTAAGCTATTTTGAGATGAGTTTGCCACTTGCAACTGACTATTGCAGAGAATTTTAAGACTCACAATACTTACATGTCCCTTTTTTAAGTAGTCAAGATGTTTTTCCACTGCAGTCTGTAAGTAAGAGGGTACTTGAAGAATTTCCTGATGATGATCCATTAAGAAAGAAACTAATCTTCCAGCAAGAAGCTCATCAAGATCCACTTCTTCAGCACAGCATAACACACATCGAGAAAAGGTATGTATCATCTAGAAAAATATTAAAAGATGTGAATTTAAAAAGCTAAGGTTGCATACAAACTAGAATATCGGTAATTTCCAGGTAGCATTATGTGAAGTATTGGGAAAAAGTGGTAAGCAGCCCTCAGTTTAAAAATGAGGACAACGATTTATACAGTTAGAAATGTAAGAATTTGATTATACATAAATCCTTTTTAAAGTTTTTCCATGGCTGAGCATGGTGGTTCATGCCTGTAATCTAAGCACTTTGGGAGGCTGAGGTGAGAGGCTCACTTGAGGCAAGGAGTTCGAAGCCAGCCTAGGCAACATAGTGAAACCCTATACCTATGAAGAAATAAAAAACTAGCCAGGCATGATGGTGCATGACTGTGGTTCCAGCTACTTGGGAGAGTGAGGCAGAAGGATTTTTTGAGCCCAGGAATTCCAGGGTGCAGTGAGCTATGATCACACCACTGTACTCTAGCCTGGGAAACAGAGCGTGATCCTGTGTAACCAGAAAAAAAAAAAAAAAGTATATCCTTAATGTAATTCCCAAGAATTATAAAAGGCTTTGGTTTTTCTACAATTTTGTCACAATTTTATCAGTAAACACCATAGGTTCTATTAATACCACATATATATGTTGCTTAAGCTTAAAGATTGTCAGAGAACAATAACTAATTACATTAAATGAATCCCACAGAAAAACACAAACCAGGAGAATGTGTAACATATAGAACACTTCTATTCATAAGTGGTTGCAAAGCTGATGCCATTTAGCTTTTGAAATGCTGGAAAATAGTTTTTAAAAATGTTTATTCTGTCAGTCTTTAGACAGCAATTTAAAACACACATTTTTCAATTCCATCTTATGGGATCTTCAAATCCTGGGATAAAATTGATTACTCTCACTTATTACTCTCGTTACTTTCACTTATATCTATGCAACCCTCTAACTGTACCACACACACACACACACACACACACACACACCCCTCATTCTAAAATACTTAGAAATCAGAATTGTTTTAAATATTTCACACATAGTAGATGATCAGAATATTTATAGAATTGATACATTTTTAGTTTTATTCCTACACATCACTCGGGGTTTCCTGTCTCCTTCCATGGCTCAGACCTCAGCCTTTTGCTCTTTCTTCACACTCTTAGCCTTGTAGAGCTCATCTACTCTCATAGCTTCAAGTACTATCCCTATGTAAATGACCAAATCAATTTGCATTCTCCCCTGATCTTTCTTCACCTGGCTCATATTTCCAACATTCTGTTGGACAAATTTCAATTTCTCTTGGAGGTCCTATGACTTCAAATCTTAAAAGTGCAAAACCAAAATTATCACCTTCCCAGTCATGTCTCTGAAAACATCTTCCTCTATAAACTTCCTAGCTTTTTAATAGTGCTATAATTACTCAAGAATAATTCTTCTTCTTTATATTAGGTCTGTCATTGTTAAAGAACTATCTTTAATAACGCGTGGAAGAAAGCATAACTCCGGATTCCTTGCTATAAGAACCTCTTGTAAATTGAAGTTGCATTTTGAGGAAGTGGTGACTTAAAAAAAAAGAAAGAGATTAAAGATACTATTTCAAGAGTTCATTTCCAATCAATTGTCTGCATATAAATGCCCTTATCCTCATTTTCACAAGGAGCCTAAGGCTGTTTGGCAATAGTGCTTCCCAACTTCTTGTCCACGATGACCTACTTTTCCATTACTATATTCTCTGAAACACTGACTTACTGTATTAAGTTCCATTAGTTCTCTGCGTCCACAGTTATAGTCTCCTTAGGCTTTCAACAGTACCTACATTTCTTCTTCCTTATCCACCAAACAGAATTGGCACAAGGCAACATAACGTGGTCTGACTGGTCAATCACTATGAAGTGATTCAGGATGAATGAGCAGGCAAAGTCCTTAGCCAGGATTAACATCAGCATGTGAAAGTATAACAGAGTGTGCACAAAAGATTAATACACCAAAATTCTGCTGCTAGGAAAGGTTAAAGAGCCTTTCCAACCTAAGAATCTAGCACTTTAAGACTAAGACATCACTTGAGTAGTACTTTTACGTAGTTTGGTTTTGTTATTTTGGTTTATGAATCAGACTTATTCTTTCTATAAGAAATCAACTTACCAGTGACCTCGTACCCATTGCATCATGAAGTTTGGGCATATCAACATTTTGACTCATTCGGGAAATCATACGCATTAAAAGTTGAAGCTTTCTACGATTTGGTGGGGGAAGTAACAAACAACATAACTGTAGAGCATCGATGGCAACCCTCTCTAAATGAGGTTGCAGCAAGCCTAGAATACAAAAATACCCCCCCAAAAATCATCAATGACACTAGTTGCTTTCATACTACCAGTATATACAGCTATATAAAGAAGGTAAAATAATATCTTAGTATTTCATCTTTTAACTATTTCTAGAAATTACGTTCCTCTAAAGCATGGTAAGATTCTCATTATTTTCTTTACAACTTATTTCTAAGTATTAAAATTCTTCACTTATTACAAATAAAGTGACTCAGAATAAATGAAATTGCAAAAAAGAAAATAAGTTCCTTAGGTAAACAGAATAAATCTTGGTTATGTCACAGACAAAAGTCTTTTTAAATAATTCCTCTTGGAGGAAAAAAAATTAAGCAACTTCAAGGAAGAAAAGCCAGGTAAGCAAAACACAGAGTTAGTAAACACTCAAAGTTAATATTGCATGCATTGAAAGCAACAGCCTTACTTTGTGTGCCAGTCAACATAGAAGAAGCTGGAAGTAAAGAATTTTCTGAAAGTTCTATTGTACTTTTGCAGAGTCTTTTATTGATTGTGGCACTAGACTCTCCGAGTTCACTTTCCATAGCTGTTTGCACACTTGTGCTGCCTTGTCCAACATTTGGTTTCATGATAATTTCAGCCACTGGTGTATTGATATAACTATTCCTTCTTGTACTACTTCTTAAAAGCAAACTCTGAGACCTACAAAGCTGTTTTGACTTGCATTTCCCATTACACAACTCCTCTTGGTCTTGAACAGTCAAAGTAGAGGTTCTCTTAAAACCAGCACTGAATGGCTTTTGAATATTTTCCTCTGAATGAAGATTCAACAGGAATTCCTGTTTGGGCTTAGACTCTAAAAACAGTTTATTATTTTGTCCTTCTATGTTCGGAAAAGATTGATGAAAGACACTGGATGCCTCTTTACTTGAATTCCCTGGCACATCTACAATTCCTTCCAAAGAACAGCACCTTGGTTTGCTGTTAGAGGATAGATCATGCATATTACTTAACCCTATTAAATTATGACAACTTCCTCCCATTATGTCATTAGCACTCACTCTTCTGTTTCTTAAATTAACTAGCTGCATTTTCTTAGCACATCTTTCTTGAAATCCTGGATTGCTTATCTGTAGTCTCTCAGTAGAATCTGATTCTTCTTTGTTTTTTTCTCTATGAAGCAGACTGAGAAGAAGGCACTCAGTTGATTTGAAGGAATTCAAATTGTTTAAGTGAAGGAATTTTGAAGACTGTGGATCATCTTGAATTTTATGTATCCCACTGGATCTATCTGAAACTGTGATGTAGCCACAAACAACTACCAGGAAATGAAACAAAAATTAAGATGCAACTGTATGACAGTGGACAAAAATAAAACAAAAACAATAGTAAAGTTAAAAAATAAAGCATTACTATAGTATATATTGTTAGTATAGTATACACAGTAGTTGCTTAATTCAGAAGCCACTTAAATAGGACACATGCAACATTCGGTTACAAACGTGCAAGACAGATGAGTGGTTTTCCCATTTGTAATATAACTTTAAAAAATTATTTCAACAGCCTAATTAAATGGATTGAGCCAGAATACATTTAAAAAATCTGTTCTCAGTCTGCAAGTACTAGAAACCTCATAAATATAAGATAATTGTGGTATAATAAAATACATATATTTGATCTTTGTCCTTGGTACCTGGTATGGAGCTCCTAAAATCCTTGAAATTTCCTGAATGATAGAAGTCTTTAGTTACTCATAACAAGCCTATTTCAGCGTATCTGAGTTCATGCTAAGGTAACTGAGGGCCGGCCATGGTTTGAATTTTCATCACCAACTACAACCTTGTGGGAGGAGAAAGGGGCTAGAGATTGAGTTCAATTGACAACAGTGACCAATGATTTGGTCAGTCATGCCTTGGTAATTAAACTTCAATTAAAACTCTAAAACATGCAGGCTGAGGGAGTTTTCTAGGTTAGTGAACACATGGATGTGCTGGGATCACGGCATGACCAGAAAGGGTAGAGAAACTCTGTGCCACCCCCACCCTCATACCGTGCTCTGTGTAACTCTTCCATTTGGCTATTCTTGAGGTCTAGCTTTTATAATAAACTAATAGTCATAGTTAAAGTGCTTTTCTGAGTTCTGTGAATCATTGTAGTGAATTATTGAGTCTGGTAGGGGGTTGAGGGAAGTCCCGAATTGGTAGTTGGCTGGGCGGAAGTATGAGTAACCTCGGAACCTTATTTCACTGAATTTTAAAATAATTTGTAGGCTGCCACCTTTATATTTACCTATGGTTTTAGATCTTCTAAATTATAAGAAAGTTGAAAACTTTAACAAAATGAACTAAAATCAGTAAAATCTATACATACCCAAAATGTTTACAAATAATTCGTAATATTCAAAAGTAAGTAGAGGTTCAGGGAGATCTAGAAAATAATCTGCGATTGTTCTGAATACATCTCGTTCAAATCCAACATAAGTTGGATTATTCATATCATTGCTTCTTGGCCCTAAGAAGTAGAAGGCAAGAGAAAAAGGTAAAGTATATTTTAATTTAAATACAATTTTTAAACATAAAAAGTATAAAATCTGTATTTCATGAAGGAGCTAGGTTTAACAACAAATTCTGCCACAGTTCAAAAATTTAAAGGGTGTATTTCATTCTTCCTCATTATCTTTCCACTGGAAGCAGTCAATTGCTAGTATTTTGTTTAACATTTGTATACCTGAAAAATCATACATAAAGCAAAATTTTAATATCATTTTAAAAGCATTAGGGAAGCTTAGTTTAATAAGATTTTATTGTAATTCATTTTGTAAAGGAAAGAATATTTGGACAACACAAATAATTCCTTCAAATTGTCTTTTTGTAAATTTACATGTTCATGAATATATTTTGTCTGACATGAAGCATAGCCTTAATGAATTTAAATAATATCTTTACATTGTTGTTTCTTAAGCTTGACACAACTATTGAAATAATCATACCTACTCATTTGTGTTTTCCTCAAAAATAAGATCTGATCTCATTTTATAGATAAGAAAACTGAGGCTGAGAGTACCTTGCCCAAGATGAAAAAGACTCTGGTAGCAAAGTTTGAATTAGAAGTTAGAGCAGTGTAAAATAAGCACAAGGCCCAGGACTTTTAAAGCTACAACAACATTTAAAGTGTGGTTCATAGATTATATCACAGAATCATCCAATGTGCCTATTAAAAATACAAAGTCCTCTATGGAGACCATAATCCATGAAGGCGGGGCCAGAAATTTACTGACCTAGAAATGTTTGCTTCTGGTTCACTGAGTGTTTTCCAAACACTAACCTGAGAATCTTCACTATAGTAATCTTCTGGAGGCATATATATATATATATATTTTTTAAAGATTCCTGACCTACAGAATCTCTGGAGAGTCTCTTTAGTGACTGTGGTATGCATCTAGGTTTTAGAGCCATTATACTATCTTTCAAGTTAAAATGTTTCTCTTCCCAAGTCCAAATAATATTTCTTACTTCTCTGTTTCCAAACTTTTGTATGGACACACAAATGTGAGCACACACTGAAAAAGAATTAAAGAAAACAATTCACACACACACACACACACACACACACTCTTAACAACAGAGCAAAATAGATATTTTTCTAAGGACATAAGAAATAGTATGTGGAATAAAAGATTTGATAATCATTAGAAAGTTCTCTAAGACAGAAAATACATGTTTACAGGAATTAAAAATATTAAAAATATAGAATTTATAGAGAATCTAGGTTTGAGCTCTAGCTCATTTGCACTAAAAGAAGATACTCTAAGCTTTGGCTTTCTCTGTTGGAAAAATTGGGATGGTATACTGATTACTAATTCCTACATCTCACAGAATTACTCTGGGGGATCGAATAACAAGTAAAGTAAGTCTTAACACTGCCTCTGGCTAAATACATTGTTGCTAATTTGGAATCCAGTAAGTTATATAATTGGTATCGTTTAGGTATTACATAGACTGAAACGAGAAGGAAGACAGAATCCCTGAAGACCAGATGTCAGAGAAATCCCTGTCAGTATGCCTATCTGAATTCCTAACCATGAGCAAAGGAATGAAAGAGAGGAATAGCTAACTATACCTGGAAAGTAGAAAGACAAATTCAAGTCTTAAGTTCATAATAAAGATTTTAATCTTAATTTGATAAAATGTTTCTGTAAATATATTTAATTTATTGCTATTTATTCAATGTCATTTTATCATATTGACACCCAGTGGACAACAAAGGAATATAAAGTTACCCTGAACATTAATAAAACCCTATTAGCATTTAGAAAATGCTAATTTTGTATGAACTAGAAAATTATACTTGTAACTATTAAAACATAATTTAGCTTTTGATGATTTAGCTTATATCTTTGTACATTTAAAAAATTAACTTTGAAAGCAATTAGGATTTTGTACTCATACTAGGGTTTTATGTTACAAAAATCAATTATCACTGATCACTACGAAAAGCTTGATCAATTAAATGCTAAAAAAATTTCTGGATTAGTGACTGATAAGGTTTGGATCTGTCCTCACCCAAATCTCATGCCAAATTGGTAATCCCCGGTGTTGGAGGTGGGGCCTGGTGGGAGGTGATTGAATCATGGGGGTGTATTTCCCCTTTGGTGCTGTTCTTGTGATACTGAGTGAGTTATCACAAGATCTGGTTGTTTAAAAGTGCGTACCACCTCTGCACACAACCTTCCTCCTGCTCCAGCCATGTAAGACATGCCTGCTTCCCCTCCACCTTCTGCCATGACTGTAAGTTGTAAGTTTCCTGAGGCCTCCTCAGCCATGTTTCCTATACAACCTGTGGAACCATGAGCCAATTAAACCTCTTTGCTTTATAAATTACCCAGTCTCAAGTATTTCTTTACAGCAGCACGAGAACAAACTAATACAATGACAGATAATCTTTTTTTTTCATAACATAAAGTCACATTAATATATCTAGTATTCTATGCTTCTACACTATAGAAATACCAAGGAGTTCAAGCCATTTGAACTCTGAGCCTCACTGAGGCAATTAGTGTGGATTTCACTTAAAAAATCCTTTGAGATCCTCTAGGCTATGACTTTATAATATATGTGAACTAAACCATAAATAATATGCTTGAATTAAAAAATCGCCACCTTTCTAAACAGAAAAAATTAAGGGCTCCATAATGTAATAAATTCCACTAGACTTTCATTTATAAATAAAGAGAAATGATATACTTTAATTTTATCAGGACTTTATTAAATTTCCTTGGTTCTTGTTAAATACTATCAATATAACACACACACACACACACACACACACACACACACACACACATATATTTAACTTACAATTTGCTAGGCACTTCATGGCAGATAATACCCAGTGAGGGAGGTCATCTACACAAAAAGAAAAATATTACTAAGTAAACCATACATTTTTTATGATAGTATATTTTAAAATATCACACTTACGTGCAATTATATATATGTATATACACATACACATACATGTTACATTTGTATATGTGTGTATTACCAGGATTAAAAAGTATTATATGTTTAATAAGACACAGGATCAAGTCAATATTTTAAAATAGAAAAAGTCTGAAAAAATTATGGATTCTGAGTTTGATTCATATTACACATAACAATTAAATACTGCCAAATTGAGGATTATTTTGAGGGAGTGTTTAGATATAAACTCCACGTTCATTTTTATCTACTACCACTATCTTTTCTTCATCCTTGTTTCTATTCTGCCTATTGCTATGCTATTTGAATATTACTGATTTGGGTGAGACCTAAGATTGAAATGAACTGTATCTCACTATTATGCTGCTTTTATAGTGAAGTTTGCTTAAAATCTTTCGAGTGCCACTAAATAAAATATGTTCCATAGAAATCTAGCATTTTTTTTACACAGGGTTACAAAGAATAGAAATCTTAAATGAGGGAATATACTGTTAACCATATTATTTTAGGTAATGGAAGAAGGGACTGGTCTACAGCCACATACATATGCCACATAGCAAACTCATCAGTTTTAACATTTACCTTTTGCTCCTACAATTAAAAACTCAAAGTTCTTGCCCATAAAAAGAAAACCAAAGTAGCATATGTCAGTTAATTCCACAGACAGAAACTTATCATAAAAACATCAGCTACGATTTTGAGAGATTTATGGATACCTTTCTCATAATCTAAGTTTTCTAATACATCTATCTAGCTTGAATTATTTCCCTGATTTTTGTATCTAAATCTGAAATCAATCAACTATATAAATATATAAAACAAAAAAGCCAGTCCCTTTAGAATCCTCATCTTGAAAGTCTGAGCTTATTTTGTTGTGTTATTACAGTTTTGTATATATGTTTGACTCCTGTTAATTTGTACATAACTACTCATGTAAGCCTCATGAGAGTATGGACCATTTCTATCTTACTTATCATTAATCTTTAGCACAATCTCTGACGTGTTGGAGGCCCTCAACAAAAATGTGCTTAATCAAAACTTTTCTTATATTTGTATACCTTTTGGATGCTTAACTTTGTCATTTTTTTAAATACCATGCATGAATTTATCTTAGCAGACAAAATATTTCTTATACTAGCACGAATAATACTCACTTAAAAATTATTCCACTGTTATTACTAAAGAACTTATGATAGCCCCTCTGATGCTCCATGAAAGTATTCTACTTTCAATATTTGGGTCTCTCTTTACACTACTATAGCTGCAACCTTGTTGGCAAGTTTTTAAAAGTCCAATTATTTTATTAATACCAACCTGATTTGTTTTGTAGTATAACTACTCCACGTTTACTTGTATTGGCCATGTTGTACATTATATATTGGGGAATTACTTGTTTTGGATTTATGACTTCTTCTAGGGATGGCACACCTAAAATGGTTTGCAGGCTAAATAGAAGAAAGAATATTAACTTTTTTTCTTCATAAATAGATTATACATATGAATATGACTAGTAAACAAAGCCATCAGAATATTTTATTTTTTTAACCAAATTTCTAAGACTTATATTTAGTATCCCCTTTCAAATACATTTATCTCAATAATCTTAAAAGGATTCCAATATATATCCCAAACTATGGCCATAATGTTGATTCAAAGAAAAGGTGAATCATACCGAAACATTCAATTTCTACTCTACTAGAGCTATAACAAGAGTATTTATTTAAAAACACATATACAGGTTGCATTCTAAGCTTTCAGAATTAATCTGTTCTGATTCATTTGCATATTTTGATGAAAATGTCAAATTAATAATCAGAACACATCAGGAACTTCATTAAAGCTTAATTTTATCTTACTAGATCAGAATAACATATCTCCAAACTTCTTCAACATCTTCCTGGCTTAGTTCTCTATTATCAATTGCATTTTCTTGATCTTCATTGATTATTTCATGCTTTATTTTCTCGCCATTTTCCTGAAAAAAGGATTATTTTGGTTTAATCTGTTATGCTCAAATTTTTTAAATATTGAAAGCAACAATAATTCTATTACTATCAGTCCATTGTGGAGCTATAAAGTATCTCCCAAAGAAATAATGTAATATGGTAATGGAGTTTTTAATTTTGCAGTTGTCCCTACCACCCTCAAATCAATTTAAACCAAAACACACTTAAATTATATAACTGTTGTTTTCAATTATGTCTCACTATCATTTTTATTATTCTTTCTATGGGTTACAAACAATTTTATATATACATATTTAGAATGTAATGTAGGTTAGGAGGTTTCAGTTCTGGCTTTAAATATTAAAGAATAATTTACTTTTAATGATTCTATCATTGAGTACATCATAATTATATTTAAACTAGTAATTAGTAAAAGGATGTGTTACCTGAGATAAATGTAATCCATGCCTTTTAGGAGTTCTACGAGATAAGTTTCGTAATTTAAAAATGCTATCTTTATCTTTGGAAAAGTTCTCTATGTTGTTTTTTCTCAATTCTGGATACCTTCGTGGTAGAGTTTTAAGTGGCGAAGTTGCAGGAAATCTGGTTTAAAAACAATAAGCAATTAAATAATGTGAGATTAGAAACAAACTTTTAGAGCCTATTTTTTTTTTAAAATTCACATAAAGAGCCTGACTTATTAATACTACCAAGTAATAAAGATTCTAGACAAATAAATTTTCCCATTAAACCTTTAAAAAAAATAGGTTCCTTTTTTCTTTAGTATATTGTGTATATTTTAACTTTATTTCTGGATAATTCAGGGTTATTATTAGGGTCAATTCTGGTAGAGGGGTATTGCTTACACACAAAATGGCTCTAGAATGCTACATTTTCTAAATTTCTTTGATGAGTTATCTAGTTTGTATATTCCCTCTTTTGTTTGTGTTTGTCCTCATTTCTGGAACTTAGTTTCTATTGCTTCTTTTGATTGTAATGTTTTGGCCTCCTTTTATTTTAATATAAAATACTTCAAAGATATAATAAAACAATACCCATGTATGTAACTGGCAACCAATGTAATTGTTGACATTTTGCCAGACTTCTCCTTTAATTTTTTTAAACTTTTATTTTAAGTTCAGGGGTGCATGTGCAGGTTTCTTACATAAGTAAACTTGTGTTGTGGAGGTTTGTTGTACGGATTATTTCATCACCCAAGTATTTAGTACCCATTAGTCATTTTTCCTGAACCTCTCCCTCCTCACACCTTCCATTGTCCAATAGGCCCCAGTGTCTATTGTTCCCCTCTATGTGTCCATGTGTTCTCATCAGTTAGCTCCCACTTGTAAGTGAGAGCATGTGATATTCAGTTTTCTGTTCCTTAGTTTGCCTCCACCTCCATCTATGTTCCTGCAAAGTACATGAACTCATTCTTTTTTATGGCTGCATACTATTCCATGGTGTATATGTACACATTTTCTTCATCCAGTATACCACTGAGGGACATTCAGGTTGACTCATTGTCTTTGCTATTGTGAATACTGCTGCAATGAACATACGTGTACATGTGTCTTCATGACAGAATGATTTATATTCCTTAGGGTATATACCTAGTAAAGGGATTGTTAGGTTAAATGGTAGTTTTGGTTTTAGGATTTTAATGAATCATTATACTGTTGTCCACAACTCATATGGAACCAAAAAGAGCCCAAATAGCCAAGGCTATCCTAAGAAAAAAGAACAAAGCTGGAGGCATCATGCTACCAGAATTCAAACTATACTACAGGCCTGTAGTAACCAAAACAAAATGGTACTGGTATAAAAACCAACACATAGACTAATGAAACAGAATACAGAGCCCAGAAATAAGGCCATGCACCTACAACCAACTGATCTTCAGCAAAGCTGACAAAAACAAGCAATGGGGGAAATGATTTCCTATTTAACAAATAGTGCTGGGATAACTGGTAAGTTACATGCCGAAGATTGAAATGGGACACCTTCTTACACCATATACAAAAATTAACTCAACATGGATTAAAGAGTTAAGTGTAAAACCCAAAACTATAAAAAACCTGGAAGAAAACCTAGGCAATATCATTCTGGACATTAGAATGGGCAAAGATTTCATGATGAAGATGCTAAAAGCAGTTGCAACAAAAGCAAAAATTGACAAATGGACTGTAGTTACATGAAGGAGCTACACAGCAAAAGAAAACTATCAATGGAGTCAACAGACAACCTATCGAATGGGAGAAAATTTTTGCAAACTATGAATCTGACAAAGGTCTAGTATCCAGCATTTACAAGGAACTTAAATTTAAAAGCAACTCCATTAAAAAGGGGGCAAAGGACATGAACTGACACTTTTCAAAAGAAGACATATATGCAGCCAACAAGCATATGAAAAAAGTTCAATATTACTGATTGGAGAAATGTAAATCAAAACTATAATGAGATACCATCTCACACCAGTCAGAATGGACACTATTAAAAAACAAAAAAATAACAGGTGCTGGCAAGGTTGCGGAGAAAATGGAATGTTTATACACTGTTGGTGGGAGTGTAAATAACTCCTTTTTTAAAAAAAATGAAATTCTTTGCTCATTCATATCTCCCTCTAAGGGAGAGTAAAATATAAACTTACAGTTTCATAAAATAAACCTATAGTTGTATTTCTTTTCCATGCTTTTATACTTTTAATAAATGTATATAAACAATATGTGGTTTGGTGTTTTTTCACTTTATCATATCTTTTACCATATATCAATTTTTTTTTCTTCTCCAAGTTTTACTCTGTCACCCAGGATGGAGTGCAGTAGTGTGATCACGGCTGACTACAGTCTCAACCTCCCGGGCTCGGCCTCCCAAGTAGATGAGACCACAGGCATATGCCACCATGCCTGGCTAATTAATTTTTTTTTTTTTTTTTGTAGAGACAGGGTCTCCCTATGTTATCCAGACTGGTCTCGAACTCCTGGGTTCAAGTGATCCTCCTGTCTTGGCCTCCAAAAGTGCTGGGATTACAGGTGTGAGCCACTCTGCCTGGCCCCATACATCAAATTTATTCAAAAAGTTTGTAGTGACCTCAAAAGTTTGAACACCTCAGAAGTTTGACCTTGGTCTTCAAAATTCTCTTAGACTTTTACCAAATGAATTTTAGAATCTGCTTATCAAGTTCCACAAAGAAACTATATTGAAGTTTTGAATGAAAATGCACTGAATTTCTATTTCAATTTGGGAGGAATTGACTTGTATATACATGTACTAAGTATTTTCATTCATGAACAGGGTATCTTTCTCCATTTATTCTATTTAATACAATTTAATACTTTTCTCCAATAAGGTCTTACACATTTTTGGTAAACTTTATTTTTATGTACTTTATAGTTTTGTTACGATCGTAAAAGACTAGGAGAGGCCGGGCGTGGTGGCTCATGCCTGTAATCCCAGCACTTTGGAAGGTCAAGGTGGGTGGATCCCTTGAGCTCAGGAGTTTGAGACCAGCCTGGGCAACATAGTGAAACCCCGTGTCCACAAAAAATTCAAAAATTAGCTGGGCGTGGTGGTGTGTGCCTGTAGTCCCCACTACTTTGGAGGCTGAGGTGGGAGGATAGCTTGAACCCAGGAGGCAGAAAAGACTAGGGGCAGAGAGACTAGTTGAGGATTTATGCAGAAATCCAGGTAAAACAAAAGCAAAACAAATAAAGAGAAATCCAGGTAAGAATTATAGCCTAACAAAAAGAAGATTCATCTTGGAGAGAGATGTGTACAGATCAGAGAACTACTTAGGGAGCACAATAGACTAAATCATATTTAAAGGACAAGAAAGGGAAAGAATCAAGGCAACTATAGGGAAGGCAATGCAATTTATTCAGATAGGAAACCTAAGAAGACAAAACTTAGGTTAGAGGGTGATAGTCATTTTTCTATATGGTTTATTTGAAGTGCCTTTCCAGGAGGCAGATGAAAAAACATGGGCCGAAAGCTCAGGAAAGATATTTCAGGAGAGGCCTGAAAGTCTTAAGAAAAGTAGGCGAAGACATGGCATGAGATTGCCTAGGGAGAAGGTGAAGTAAGGACAAGGGCAGGAACTTGAAGATGGGAGAGTTAAAGGATGAGCAGCAGTAAAGGAGCCCACAAAGATAACTGGGGAGTAGTTAAGAGAGGGAAGATTTGTAGAGTGCTATACAAAATGGATTATTCATATGATTGTTATTGTAGTTTACTTGTATGACATAAATCATTTTTGGTACATAGGAAACAATAAATTCTTAGACATTTCATTTGAAAAGTACCTAATGTTGTAGGAAAAAAAAAGCATGGGCATTAGATTCCACAGGCCTAGTTTAATGGATACATAACAAAGAACCGTAGGTCATAAGAGAAAAAGCAATTATGCTGACCTGTGGGAATCAGAAAAGCTCCACAGAAGAGGCTATAAAGGAGCTGAGATTAAAAGAAATGTATAAGTTTACTAGCCTGACAAATGTGTACAGTGTCTCACGGTGGAAAAACATTTCAGGCAGACAGAACAAGATTTGTTGAAGCATGGTCTCAGTTTCCCCATCTGTTAAAAGGGGTTAATACCTACCCTGCTTGGCTACTATAGCAATTAAGTAAGAACACATATGTAAATCATCAAACAGAGTTTCTGTTATATCTTAACTGCTTAATAAATATTCTCTTTAACCTGTGGTATATTTCTTCTGTTATCATTGTTATTTTTTGAGATAGTCTTGCTCTGTCGCCCAAGCTGGAGTGCAGTGGTGCAATCTCAGCTCACTGCAACCTCCACCTCCCAGGCTCAAGCAGTTCTCGTGCCTCAGTCTCAGGTGTGTGCTACTACACCCAACTCATTTTTTGTATTTTTAGTAGAGACGGGGTTTCACCATGTTAGCCAGGCTGGTCTCAAACTCCTAGCTTCAAGTTGATCCGCCCACCTCAGCCTCCCAAAGTGCTGGGATTACAGGCATGAGCCACTTTACCTGGTCCTGTTATTTGTCTGTTATTTATTATGTAAGATTTGCTATTATCCTATTACATGTATTCTTAAATTAAATTATATGTTTGAAGGGAAGGATCTGTGAACTTATAATCTAGAAACTATGCAACTAAAGGTCAGTAATATGTCCTTAAAATGTTATAAAGTGTTCAGAATATGCGGAAGTGATAATACATCAGTATTTCCCTTCCAATTCCCTACTTTATTATATATGCTAACACTTAAAAACTTTAAATTTTGTAGCAATTAACTTTCACATTACAATTTTTCTAAATGATTTTAGTTGAACTAACAGCATTAATAGTTTTCCAAAGAAATAAAACTTCTTTGAAGAAGCTGCTGTTATAGTAAAAGTATAATATAAGTAGAGATAAAACTTTACAGTAATTCAGTTTTACAGTTACATATCTGTTCATTACCTGAAGAGCTGGTTGTTATCATCAACATTTTCTGATCCCCACCTCCCTTTGATATCTTCAATTACATGATTCTTAAGAAATTTCCTCAACAGTTGGATAGTCTGTTGCCTTGTAACTTCAGGACCAAAATTGCTATTATTTCTTAATAGGTCATAAAGCCAATCCACTGCTTCTCCTGCTGTGAAACAATTGCCATATTTTTTAAAGTGTTGTCTGTGTTTTCTTAGAGGCATTCCTGCTCGAAAAGATGTGGTAACTTCATTCCACTGTAAAAAGAAGGAAAATATTTTTAAAAAATTGAAGAAAAATTAAATCTCATATTGATTTGAAGTACATTAGGTAAAGAAAATTCTTTAATTCACATCTGATTATATCATAAAAATTCTTGAAGAATCATTCATCTTATTTGTGCCATATAAAATTTTATATCTGGCCGGGCACGGTGGCTCATGCCTGTAATCCCAGCACTTTGGGAGGCCGATGCGGGTGGATCACCGGAGGTCGGGAGTTCGAGACCAGCCTGACCAATATGGAGAAACTCCGTCTCTACTAAAAATACAAAATTAGCTGGGCATAGTGGTGCATGCCTATAATCCCAGCTACTCAGGAGGCTGAGTCAGGAGAATCACTTGAACCTGGGAGGCGGAGGTTGCGGTGAGCTGAGATTGCACCATTGCACTCTAGCCTTGGCAACAAGAGCAAAACTCAGTCTCAAAAAAAAAAAAATTATATCTTACACTGCTTTCTTTTTATTAATTCTAGTGCTGTAGTAATATTTTTATGTAATAGCTTTTTTATTAGAAGAACTTCATTGGCTGATCTAAGATCCTTATTTAAGATCCTGAGCTTATTTAAGAAATCTGGAAATAAGGAAGAACTACAATCAATAGAGAAAACATTCATCCCTGTTTTTTACCTCAATTAATATTAATGTTGGTAGCACTGTGCTTCACATTCATTATTTCACTTTAATTACCCCAATTCTATGAATAGGTACTATTAATTTCTCATTTTTCACATAAGGAAAATAAAGCAGAGAGATTAATAAAATGACCAAGGTCACACAGCTAAGTGATGAACCTAGGCATTCAAACCCAGGTGTGATTGACTCTAGAAACTGATATTGAGCTGCTCACTCTGTACTGGCCTGAGGACACAGTAATAAAAATGACAGAAAGGGACTCTGTACTAAGGGAGATTACAGAACGGCTTTCCTGAGATGCAGTACAGGGTAGTGGCTTTAAGAACAGGCTCTGGAGTTAGACTAGTAGGGCTGGTTTCCCAGCTCTAGCTCTGCCACTATTGTTTATGACTTTTTGGGCCTATCTTCAATCTCTATGCCTCAATCTCCTTAACCACAAAACAGGGACAAAAGGACCTAACGAATGGGCTTATTGGAATGATAAAATGATGTAATATATGTGAAGTACTAGTAAGCATTCAGTGCATGTTTTCTTTTTCAGCGTGCTTATACTACTTTCATCTAATGGGTTTTAAATAATGTGGCAGGACTACTGATTGAGGTTCCTTCCTGTCCTAAATTCTATCCTTCATATTGGTAAATATAGCCAATAACTTACTAAGTAGCAGAATCCATGTAAGATCGCCATACCAGGAAGATCTGAATTCTAGCTCTGCCACTTGCTGTTGATGTGACTCTAGAGGGCATTTAACGTCTGTGAGCCTCAGTGTGCACCTGATAAAGTAGGGCTAATAATACATGCTCGTCTGAAGGGCATTCCTAAGAGGAAAATGCTTGTTATTCTGCAGATCACAACACACTTTAAAAAACAGCATCCTCCTGGGAAACCCCTTAAGGCAAGCATGTATTAGTAACCTTTACCAATGTGGAAACAGGCTCACAGAAGGTAGGGGACTCACCTAACGTCACATAACCAGCACCACAGTATCCTATAGAACCGAAGACCCAACTGCACAAAACGCGTTAGGAGTGCTGTACGTGCAATTCAGGGACCACCAGCAGTGGTTACTGATGGGTACTCAGAAATACCGTTTTGAAACAGGCAGCTGTTATCCTAGTGCTATTCGGCCGATACATCCTGCGTTAAATTCTATGGGTTCAATAAACAAAATTGCCACATTCGGGCTTGCCCCCCACCTAACCCTACAAAGCTTTGGACCTCATTCCCAATTGTTCCCTAATTCTGAGGCGGGTAGAAAATCAGGCGAGGTGAGCGGCCAAATCGGAATATTCTAAGACGCCCCCACGGGACGCCGGCCACACCAGGCACAGGAGTCGCTCCTCATAGCGAGTCTGGTGCGGCCTACGCGCGGCGCTTCCTTTCGGACCTGAGGCCCAGACCCTCAAAATAGAGGGAGCGGTGAGTCTGGCAAGGGTTGCATACCCGCTACTTCTCCTCGCCAGCCTTTTCACTGAACCTAGGGATCCTGGGACTCATCCCTCCGACCGAGGTAAAACTGCGAACGGTCGAGGTAAAACTGCGAACAGTGGTGACTGCCGTCAGCCCGCTGACCGGTCCCGTCTATCCGAGCTGTCTTACCAGCTTGGTGGCCCGATAAGGCCCGGGAGGCACACCCTGACTCTCCATAGGTCTGTCAGCGCCCGGTGGCGTCCATGGCGGCGAAGGCGACACTCAGGCCCAGCGGCCGCGGCAGTGGCGAGTCTCGGCACAACCGTTGGCCCCGCCGCCGATTTGAATAGCATAGAGGGCTGCGCGGATTGGCCGCGCCGCGGGTCACGTGACGCCACAGCCAGGCTCGGGAAGGAGTCGGCGAGGGCCGCTCGGCTGCGTCCTGGGGCTCCAGTAGCTGGCGCGGGCTGGGGTGGGCTGGGCTGGCCTGGGACCGCCTCGATGGGACAGGCTCGGGTTTCCCTGGCGCTGTTTCTCCCTCCTGCGGTCTACGGCGAGGCGGAGTCACAGAGTCCTGTTTTCGTGCTCAGAGGGGATGAGCTCTTTAGTTCCAAACGAAATTATTTGGAGTCCAGCCTTTGGTTTAAGGGAATTTGAAATTTGAAAAGACAAGAAAATACGGTTTTTCTGCCTGGCCCTACAGGATCTTCAGCAGTTAGCTTAGAAGGCAAAGCAACCTGATGGATATGTGTCGCAGTTTCTCTCTCTGCTGCCTATCCTCTCTCTCAGCAGGTGCCATGATTCTCTGAAGTGCTAAAATCTAGGTTCAGAACCCCCTAATTGTGCAGTAAAATGGATCATTCAGAACCCCCCAGTTGGGTAATAAAATGGATTATAGGTAGTCTTTCTTAAGTACATACAATGTGGGGCTTGGGAAAGGTTGTGTACAACTTGTCAAATTGCTTCCCTTAAACTCTACCACTGTATAAGAATGTTGGTTATGTTTGGATCGTGATTATACACTTAAAATTTCACTAGGATCTTAGAAAATAAATCTTCAACAGAAGTCAATTTTCAAATGACAAAAACTACATTCCGAGAGTTGAAGAGACTTACTCAGTCTTAGGTCTCCTTGGCAAAGCACAGACTTCATGCTTTTAATAAATACCCTGTCACCAGTCTGAAACTATCTGATGCTAAGAATCCCTTAGTAAAGTGGGAGATTGCTTGAGTGATTTGAAGCTGTGGAAGAATTCACTTGGAAATTAAATAGCAGTTTAAGAGGATAGGATGCAGTAAAAAGAAGAGATAAAGAAAAATGTTCAGGGAGTGGTAGTGTAGGTCTGTGGAGTTTTCCTTAATTTGGGCAGAAGCACATCTATTTTCTACCAGGACCAGTGGGTAGGAATTTTCAAAAACATACTTGGTAAACAGGAACAATCTACTCAATTTTCCACTTATGTTAAGGAAAAGTAAAATGATTGATGTTACAAAATAATGTTAACTGTTTCTTACCTGGCTTTATGATACATTGTCCCAGGATTTTCGTTTTTCTTTTCTTTTTCCTTTCAGAAGGAAATGGAGATGAGACTGTGGAAGCCAAAATTTATTTTTGCCCAGCTCCCCAAGTTGAAAATCATCTCACATACAGCCTTTGATATAGGTAGCCACAGCTTAATAGTACCTTAATAATCCACTGTGGCTGTGGATTCACTCTGCACCATCCACTTTCACATTTATAGTGTCTTTAGATGATAAAATATTTAAAAGTTAGGTTTTTGTTAAATGTGAGTGGTCTGAGTTTCTTTAAGGTAACTTTACATACCTTTGCTCTTAACAATTATTCATTGATTGCATAGTTTAAATCTTGGAAGTCATTTTATTTCCTCTCATTACCAATTCTGCGAGAGTCACTTTATCATCCTTTTCCTAATTCTCCTACATTAGAATTTCTCAGAGTGGGTTAAAAACTACATGTTTTAGAATTTCCTGCAATACCTGTTAAAATGCTGATTCCTGGGATTCCCCAAATCCTGATTGGGGTGTATGTATATATGTGTATGTATGTGTGTGTGTGTGTGTTTGTCATGGGAGGGAGAGTACAGGGTAAATGTGTAGGGTTGGAGGAGGCTGTATCTCTGAAGACTGTGCAGCTGAGATGCTGTAATGCCCATGAACTGCCTAGCTGTGGACTTATATATGAAAGAAATATGAGCCTCTGTTAATTTACTCTTCTAGCTGAACCTAACCTAATCTACTCATTGTGATACAATGAGTATCACAAAAGAAAATGAGCTCTCTTCTTTTGTCTGCCACCATGTGAGATGTGCCTTTCACCTTCTGCCATGATCGTGAGGCGTCCCAAGCCACACAGAACTTAATTCAGGTAGCTGGAGAGATAATGGTGGATGGGAGGCAGGACTAGATTGCAGCTCCCACTTGGATGGAAAGAGCAGAATGTGGAGGCTTGCACTGTGAACTTTTGCTCCAGAATGACTGCAGGAATAAATCAGGAAAGCTGAGAGAATTGATAGACCATCTGAAGGAAGTGGATTGCTCCTGCAGGACCCGGAAGACACCCCAAATACTGTGCTGGCTGGTATCCATGACTGAGAGACCCACAGACAGTTCACATCACACGACTCTGTGCAGACAACCCCCAGTACCAGCCCAGAGCCTGGTAGACTTGCTGGGTGGCTAGATCCAGAGGAGATAACAATCACTACATCTTGGCTCTCAGGAAGCCACATCCCTAGGAAAAGGGGGAAACCACTACATCAAGGGAACACTCCATGGGACAAAAGAATCTGAACCACAGCCTTGAGCCCTAGGCCTTTCCTATGACAGAGCCTACCCAAATGAGAAGGAATCAGAAAACCAACTCTGGTAATATGACAAAGTTCTTTAACACCCCCCAAAAATCACACTAGCTCACCAGCAATGGATCCAAAACAAGAAGAAATCCCTGATTAACCTAAAAAAGAGTTCAGAAGTTTCATTATTAAGTTAATCAGGGCGATCCAGAGAAAGGCAAAGCACAATTTAAGGAAATCCAAAAAATGATACAAGAAATGAGGGGAGAAATTTCCAATGAGATAGATAGCATAATTAAAAAACAATAAAAACTTCAGGAAACCATGGACGCACTTATAGAAATGCAAAATGCTCTGGAAAGTCTCAGCAATAGAATTGAACAAGCAGATGAAAGAACTTCAGAGCTCAAAGACAAGGTTTTTGAATTAACCCAATCCGACTAAGACAAAAAAAAAAAAAAAGAATAAGAAAGTATGAACAAAGCCTCCAAGAAGTCTGGGATTATGTTAAATAACCAAATCTAAGTATAATTGGCATTTTTGAGGAAGAAGAGAAATCTAAAAGTTTGGAAAACATATTTGGGGGGATAATCGAGGGAAACTTCCCTGGCCTTGCTAGAGACCTAGACATCCAAATACAGGAAACTCACAGAACACCTGGGAAATTCATCACAAAAAGATCATCACCTAGTCACATTATCGTCAGATTATCTAAAGTTAAGATGAAAGAAAGAATCTTAAGAGCTGTGAGACAAAAGACCAGGTAACCTGTAAAGAAAAACCTATTGGATTAACAGCAGATTTCTCAGCAGAAACCCTGTAAGCTAGAAGGGATTGGGGCCCTATATTCGGCCTCCTCAAACGATTGGGGTCCTATATTCAGCCTCCTCAAACAAAACAATTAGCCAAGAATTTTGTATCCAGTGAAACTAAGCTTCATAAATGAAGGAAAGATATAGTCTTTTTCAGACAATCAAATGCTGAGAGAATTTGTCACTACCAAGCCAGCACTATAAGAACTGCTAAAAAGACCTCTAAACCTTGAAACAAATCCTGGAAACACATCAAAACAGAACCTGTTTAAAGCATAAATCTCACAGGACCTATAAAACAAAAATACAATTGAAAAAAAACCCAGAAAACTAAGGTATACAGGCAACGAATAGCATGATAAATGGAATGGAACCTCACATCTCAATACTAATGTCGAATGTAAATGGCCTAAATGCTCCACTGAAAAAATACGGAATTGCAGAATGGATAAGAATTCACCAACGAACTACTTGCTGCCTTCAAGAGACTAACCTAACACATAAGGACTCACATAAACTTAAGGTAAAGGGGTGGAAAAAGTCATTCCATGCAAATGGACACAAAACATGAGCAGGAGTAGCTATTCTTATATCAGTCAAAATAAACTTTAAAGCAACAGCAGTTAAAAAAGATGAAGAGGGACATTATATAATGATAAAAGGCCTTGTCCAACAAGAAAATATCAGAATCCTAAGTATATATGCACCTAACACTGAAGCCCCCAAATTTATAAAACAATTACTGCTAGACCTAAGAAATGAGATAGAAAGCAACACAATAATAGTGGGGGACTTCAATACTCCTCTGACAGCACTAGACAGGTTATCAAGACAGAAAGTCAACAAAGAAACAATGGATTTAAACTATACCCTGGGACAAATGGACTTAACAAAAGGCATTCTACCCAACAACCGCAGAATATACATTCTATTCATCAGCGTATGGAACTTTCTCCAAGATAGACCATATGATAGGCTACAAAATAAGCCTCAATAAATTTAAGAAAATTAAAATTATATAAAGCACTCTCTCAGACCACAGTGGAATAAAACTGGAAATCAACTCCAAAAGGAACCTTCAAAACCATGTAAATACATGGAAATTAAATAAACTGCTCCTGCATCCTTTATTGGGTCAACAATGAAATCAAGATGAAAATTAAAAATTTCTTTGAACTGAACAATAATAGTGACACAACCTGTCAAAACCTCTGAGATACAGAAAAGGCAGTGCTAAGAGGAAAATTTATCTTCCTAAACACCTACATTAAAAAGTCTGAAAGAGCACAAACAGACAATCTAAGGTCACACCTCAAGGAACTAAGGAAATAAGAACAAACCAAACCCAAACCCAGCAGAGAAAGGAAATAAGCAAGATCAGATCAGAACTAAATGAAATTGAAACAAAAAAAGAAGATAAATGAAATAAAAGCTAATTCTTTGAAAAGATAAATACAGTTGATAGACCATTAGCAAGATTAACCAAGAAAAGAAGAGAGAAAATTCAAATAAGCTCAAATAGAGGAGATGGATAAATTCCTGGAATGATACAATCCTCCTAGCTTAAATCAGGAAGAATTAGATACCCTGAACAGACCAGTAATAAGCAGTGAGATTGAAATGGTAATTAAAAAATTACCAACAAAAAAACTCCAGGACCAGATGGATTCACAGCAGAATTCTACCAGACATTCAAAGAAGAATTGGTACCAATCCCATTGACAGTATTCCACAAGATAGAGGAAGAGGGAATCATCCCAAATTCTATGAAGCCAGTATCACCCTAATACCAAAACCAGGAAATGACATAACCAAAAAGAAAACTACAGACCAGTATCCCTGACGAACATAGATGCAAAAATCCTTAACAAAATGCTAGCTAACCAAATCCAATGGCATATCAAAAGATGATTTTCCATGATCAAGTGGGTTTCATGCCAGGGATACAGGGATGTTTTAACATACACGAGTCAATAAATGTGATATACCACATAAACAGAATTAAAAACAAAAATCACATGATCATCTCAATGGATGCAGAAAAAGCATTTGACAAAATCCAGCATTGCTTTACGATTAAACTGTCAGCAAAATTGGCATACAAGGGACATACCTCAATATAATAAAAGTCGTCTATGACAAACCCATAGCCAACATAATACTGAATGGGGAAAAGTTGAAAGCATTCCCTCTGAGAACTGGAACAAGACAAGGATGCCCACTCTCACCACTTCTCTTCAACATAGTACTGGAAGTCCTAGCCAGAGCAATCAGACAAGAGAAAGAAATAAAGGACATCCAAATCAGCAAAGAGGAAGTCAAACTGCCACTTTTTGCTGATGATATGATTGTTTACCTAGAAAATCCTCAAGTCTCTTCCAGAAAGCTCCTAGAACTGATAAAATAATTCAGCAAAGTTTCTGGATACAAAATTAATGTTCACGGATCAGTAGCTATTCTATACACCAACAGTGACCAAGCTGAAAATCAAATGAAGAGCTCAACCCCTTTTACAGTAGCTGCACAAAATAAAAACAAATAATAACAACAAAAAACTTAGAAATATATCTCACCAAGGAGAAGAAAGATCTCTACAAGGAAAACTACAAAACATGGCTGAAAGAAACCATGGATGACACAAACAAATGGAAACACATCCCATGCTCATGGATAGGTAGAATCAATATTGTAAAAATGACCATACTGCCAAAAGCAATCTACAAATTCAATGAAATTCCCATAAAAATACCACCATTGTTCTTCACAGAACTAGAAAAAAGAATCCTAACATTCATATGGAACCAAAGAACATTCCACATAGCCAAAGCAAAAAGAATAAATCTGAAGGCATCACATTACCTGATTTCAAACTATACTGTAGAGCCATGGTCACCAAAACAGCATGGTACTGGTGTATAAATAGTCACAGAGACCAATGGAGCAGAATAGAGAATGCAGAAATAAGCCCAAATACTTACAGCCAACTGATTTTTGACAAAGCAAAGAAAAACATAAAGTAGGGAAAGAACACCCTATTCAACAAATGGTGCTGGGATAATTGGCAAGCCACATGTAGGAGAATGAAACTGAATCCTCATCTCTCACCTTATACAAAAATCAACTCAAGATGGATCAACGACTTAAATCTAAGACCTGAAACTATAAATATTTTAAAAGATAACATTGGAAAACCTTTCTATACATTAGCTTAGGCAAGGATTTCATGACCAAGAACCCAAAAGCAAATTCAATAAAAACAAAGATAAATAGCTGGCATTTAATTAAACTAAAGAGCTTTTGCACAGCAAAAGGAACAGTCAGCAGAGTAAATAGACAACCCACAGAGTAGGAGAAAATCTTCACAATTTATACATGTGACAAAGGACTAATATCCAGAATCTACAATGAACTCAAACAAATTGGCAAGGAAAAATAAACAATCTCATCGAAAAATGGGCTAAGGACATGAATAATCAATTCTCAAAACAAGATATACAAATGGCCAACAAACATGAAAAAATGCTCGACATCACTAATGATCAGAGAAATGCAAATCAAAACCAGAATGTGATACTACCTTACTCCTGCAAGAATGGCCATAATAAAAAAATAAAAAAAAATAGATGTTGGTGTGGATGCAAAGAATAGGGAACACTTCTACACTGCTGGTGGGAAGGTAAACTAGTACAATCACTATGGAAAACAGTGTGGAGATTCCCTAAAGAACTAAAATTAGAACTACCATTTGATTTTGTAATCCCACTATTGAATATCTACTCAGAGGAAAAGAAGTCATTATATGAAAAAGATACTTGCACACACATGTTTATAGCAGCACAACTTGAAACTGCAAAAATGTGGAACCAACCTAAATGCCCATCAATCAACAAGTAGGTAAAGAAATTTTGGCATACATATATGATGGAATACTACTCAGCCATAAAAAGGAATGAATCAATGGCATTTGCAACGACCTGGATGAAATTGGAGACTTAATTCTAAGTGAGGTAACTCAGGAATGGAAAACCAAACATTGTATATTCTCATTCATAAGTGGGAGCTAAGCTATGAGGATGCAAATGCATAAAAATGACACAATGGACTTTGGAGACTCAGGGGAAAGGGTGGGAAGGGAGTGAGGAGTAAAAGACAACAAATAGGATGCAGTGCACACTGCTCAGGTGATGAGTGCACCAAAATCTCACAAATCACCACTAAAGAACTTACTCATATACAAACACCACCTGTTCTCCAATAACCTATGGAAATAAAAAAATTTTTAAAAAAGAAAATGAATTGCATGTACCCTGTATTATATATAGTGAGACAAATTTTTTCCGCCTAGACAGAAATTATCTATTCTAGTAGGCTTTCCTCATTCTGCCCATGGAATTCATATATTCCCACTAGAAAATAAGTTCCATGGCCAAGACTTTATCCAGTTTGATTAGTGCTCTATCTCCAGCCCCTAAACAGCACATAGTAGGAATTTAATAAATATTTGGTGAAAGGATGAATTTTTTCTTATCACAAAAAGGAAAGTTTATATATAGGGAATATAATTGTCTTTCCTTTCTAGGTAACCTTTAATAAAATATTCCTGAAAGTCTGTAAAATTTATTTATCCTTGAAGTTAGCCATTGCACCATGCTATGTCTAGTTATGAGTCTTATTTCGTGAATTTTGTCTAATATTTGGTCTGGTCTGAAATTTCTTTTAATTTTTTTCTTTTAAATTGCTCCTGGCTGTTGTCCTGCCTGCTTCTGAAACTATTTTTTTTTTTTTTTTTTTTTTTTTGAGACGGAGTCTCGCTCTGTCGCCCAGGCCGGACTGCGGACTGCAGTGGCGCAATCTCGGCTCACTGCAAGCTCCGCCTCCCAGGTTCACGCCATTCTCCTGCCTCAGCCTCCCGAGTAGCTGGGACTACAGGCGCCCGCCACCGCGCCCGGCTAATTTTTTGTATTTTTTTAGTAGAGACGGGGTTTCACCTTGTTAGCCAGGATGGTCTCGATCTCCTGACCTCATGATCCACCCGCCTCGGCCTCCCAAAGTGCTGGGATTACAGGCGTGAGCCACCGCGCCCGGCCTGAAACTATTATTAATTATTTGATCTTCTGGATCTATCTTATTTTTCTGATGTCTTTCCTTCTATAATTTTCCTTTTATTATTTTTTTCTTCAAATTCTGAGAGAATTCTTCCAGCTGAGCTTCTATTTAATTTTCTTTTATGCTCAGTTTTTCATTCATCTCCAGGAAGACTTTTCTATTCTCTCATTATTATTTATTTCTGTATTGCCTGCTCTTGATTTAGGCTTGGAGATATGAATTATGAATAAGACTTTAATTATTTTTCCCTTTTGTCTTAAACTAGCTCACAGTAAAATGCTCAGAATGACCCTCTTCTTTGAACTGCTGATTATTTTATTGTTTGCATTGCTTTTAATTTAAATTTATGTTTTCTTATACAAGGCTTTTTTTAAAAATTTAACATCAGTAACTGAAATAAGCCTCAGTGAAGATCAGTTATGTCCATGTAAGTATTTTTCAGATAATGACTTTTTATTTTTCAACCGTCATTCCCCAAATCCTGCATCCTCAAGTATTCAGACAGCTGGTGTAGTTTAGGATTAGAAGTACAGTTGACATGTATTGTCTTGTCTGGCAATCAGCTCTCATTTCCTTTGGGAAAAGTATACCTCCTTATTTGGGAAAATACTTCTCTAGCATTTTTTTTTTTTTTTGAGACAGAGTCTTGCTCTGTCATTCAGGCTATAGTGCAGTGGTACGATCTTGGCTCACTACAACCTCCACCTCCCAGGTTCAAGTGATTCTCCTGTCTCAGCCTCCTGAGTAGCTGGGACTACAGGTGTGTGGCACCATGCCTGGCTAATTTTTGTATTTTTAGTAGAGACGGGGTTCACTACTAAAAATTTGGCCAGGCTGGTCTCAAACTCCTGACCTCAAGTGATCCTTCCACCTATGGCCTCCCAAAGTGCTGGGATTACAGGTGTGAGCCACTGCGTCTGGCCCTTTCTAGCTCTAAAATGTATTCTGAGAGAACTTTTCTTTCTTGTCTCAGGGATCTAGGAGTGAACACTTGCTCCAACTGAGTCACAGTTCTGCTCACCCAATTCCAATGAGGCGGTCACATGACCCAAGCTGAGTCAGTAAGATTTTTAAAAACTGGATTAAGAGGGAAAAGCCTTCTCTTTCTGGTGACTAAGATGAGAGGCTATGAGCCAGGAGCCAGTGTGGTTATAGTTACACCTGAATGGAGACTCTCTAGTCAGGTGAAATGCACTGATGACCAAAGAGAAGCAGAAAGGAGAGCTAGAGAGTGCTAATTTTAGTCTTTCTGCGGTTCACTTAGACTCCTGAAATTTTATTAAGTGGGACAATAACAATTTTTTATTAAACAAGTCAGTTTGTTTAGATTTCTTTCATCTACCCTCCAAAGGTCTCCAGTAAAAGACACGTTTTCAAGAATGCTAATGACAATGACTTTTCTCAAGGGCACAGATGCCATTGAGCTCCTAGGTAAGGTTCTATATCATTCCAGTACGTTACAACACTCTACATAGACGTCAGAGCAACTATATAATTGTATTTGAGAGATTTTTCAGGATTGCTGATATAGTTTGGATATTTGCCCTTTCCCAAATCTCATGTTTAATTGTAATTCCTAACGCTGGAGGTGGGTCCTGGTGGGTTGTGTTTGGATCATGGGAGCAGATTCCTCATGAATGGCTTAGGCCATCCTCTTTGGTAATAAGTAACCTCTCTCTCTGAGTTCACAGGAGATATCGTCATTTAAAAGTGTATGGAATTGCCCACTCTCTCTCTCACTTGCTCCTGCTCTGGACATATGACATGCCTGCTCCCCCTTAGCCTTCTACCATGCTTGTAAACTTCCTGAGGCCTCATCAGAAGCCAAGCAGATGCCCAGTTCCATGTTTCCTATAATGCCTGCAAAATCATGAGCCAATTTAAACTCTTTTCTTTATAAATTACCCAGTCTCAGGTATTTCTTTATAGTAATGCAAGAATGGCCTAATATAATTGCTCACAATAAAGTGCTCTCTTCCTGAGAAATGTAGATGTTTGACAGCTAAGTGATCTTGAGACCTTTGAGTGTTTGTGAGGAGTTTTACCTTCAGAGACCACTGATATCCCACCTAGTACAAAGTAGATGGAAGTCCCTAAATTCTCCAAAGATTCTGGTAAAGACTGTAGTATGAAATGGACCATCCACATCTACTGAGAAAAACTGGGAGGACAGTGACAGGTACTTGTAGTCATGTTGCCATATCCCATATAATTCTGTGCTGTATTTGTATGTAATAGGATGATTTACAGGAAAAAAAATCATTTGGGTGTAAACCAAAAGGTAGCTGAGACAGGTTTCAATCACTTTCAAAGTTTATTTTGCCAAGGTTGAGGACATGCCCATGAGACAGGTCTGTACTTTCTCCATAGGAGATTTTGAAGGTTTCAGGGGAAAAGCAGGCTGGAGGGGAAAGAGAGAGGGTATGGTCACATTACTGAACTCATATATTGCAAGAGAAAAGGAACAGGTAGGGGAATAGTCAATTATGTATTCACCTCAAGCTCAGTATATTGGTACTTTACATAAGATAAGGTGAACATAGTAACTTCCTGTGAAGACTTTTTTTTTCTTTTCTTTGAGACAAAGTCTCGCTCTTGTCACCCAGGCTGGAGTACAATGGTGCGATCTCGGCTCACTGCAACCTCCACCTCCCGGGTTCAAGTGATTCCCCTGCCTCAGCCTCCCGAGCAGCTGGGATTACAGGCGCCTGCCACCATGCCTGGCTAATTTTTGTGTTTTCAGTGGAGACGGGTTTCACCATGTTGGCCAGGCTGGTCTTGAACTCCTGACTTCAGGTGATCCGCCCGCCTCCACTTCCCAAAGTGCTGGGATTACAGGCATGAGCCACCGCGCCCGGCCTCCTATGAAGATTTTTAACCTTTTATCCGTAGATATTTGCTTAGGAACAAAAGGAAAGGCAGCTTCTTGCATGATTCAGCTTTCAGGTAATTTTTTTCCTTTTGGCATAGTGAGTTGGGCTCCCAGGTTTTTTTTTCTTTCGAAATTCTCTCCCCTTTTCTTTTTAAAATCTTCAGAGAAAACATTTTAGAAGAAAATGAGTCTGTGGTCTTGAGTTTTGTCTCATCTCTCATGGCTAGGATGGTTTATTCCTAGGAAGTTCTCATGTTAGAAAAGCTCATTATTAACAGGTTGTGCAGTCTCACGTCCTACAAAGAAAAAAAATAGGGGGAGGAAGAGAGAACTAAAACTACAAATGAACAAAAAAAGGGAGAGCAATCCTGGAAAACCCATAAAGGCCATATTATTCTAAAGTCCATACATCAGTAGGAAGGTATGAAATGGTATATTATATATATATTATATATATACACACACATATATCTATATATACACACATATATATGTAAGTGGTTGTAAGTACATATATATATATGTTGCTGTTATTTTCTTCTGAAGTTTAAGTTGTCTAGTTCCAGTTTTCTCAGTTTAATGTTCAGTGATTTCAAATCAGGAAAAATGACGAAAAAAGGAAAAGAAAGAAGGAAAAAATGTAAGACATTATTTTGGGAACTTGCAGCCAGGAAAAACTTTAGAATTCTGTCCAATTTATAGAAAATAATAAAAACATAAAAATATTAGGCAAGGCCAGAACCTAGTAACAGGTGTACTCTAGTTTATTTTGAAACATGATTTTTCTTTTTCTAATTCCCCAACTTTATTAGAGACAAAATCATAGTAGGACCAATTTATTGCAAAATAAGTTTTAGTCTTATACTTGGCCTGATTATTTGCATAAAGTACAACAAGAATAAATTATTTGCCACATAGGCTCTTTTTAAATCGGCTTTGATGGAAGTTTGTTCTATAAGGAATCTCATATTAGATTTTTCAAAGCATTGAGCCCAGCCACAGATTTATCTGTGCTCGCAAATACTTGTATGAGTTGGGTAAATCACTCTCCTCTCAAGGTGACAAGATAACTTGAGGTTCCTGAGCCTGTCGGAAAGTGACATTCTTTGCTTACCGCAGGTCAGGAACCCTGTACAGGGACTGTGTAGACAAGGTATGAGGCCAGTTTTCTCAAGGGGCTTCTATTCACTCTATAAGTCACCTTTGATTATTCAAAGCAGTCTGTTTATATTTGAAAATATGCCATTCCAGTCAAAGCCTTGGTAAAATAACCAGTGTCTCCAATTGGGTCCTGTACTAAAGAAAACAGATTCTTATTGCACTTATGCAAAAACTATATTGCCATAAGTTAAGAATATTCACAAATAGTTTCCAAATTCTGGAGAAATCAGATAGAGAGAAAGAAATATGCTCCAAATTTTTCTTACAGGAGTATATTTACTCACTTGCTAAAAGCTGTAAATAGCTCAAAAGAAAACAAAAGTTTTCTTGACTCTGAAAAACAAAATGAAAAGGATCAGCAACATTTTAAGCAAAAAAAAAAAATCACTAAAAGATTATTTCAGCCTTTTATTAGTTTAGTCCGTGTCAGGAATCCTTTGGAATATATTAGCTTTCTATGAGAGTCCTGGAAATTGTTTTATCTGTTTTGTTTTTCTACTTCAATGGCCCAATTTTCAAAGTTATCAGAGAGTCCAAGAGTCCTATGGCTGATTATAAACTGCCTTTTGAAGAGGATTAAAACAAGACAACAATTGTCTTTGGATGACAAAAGTCTTAGAACAGCCACAATTAAAAACCCAATTGACAAGAAAATCTGGTCACCTCTGTGGTATACAGCAATTTAACATAACAATTACAATTATTACTGACAATATATACTGAGACATATCAGAATATAGAAATTTTATATGATTTTGTAATGCATACTAATAACATTTATGTGATTATAACTTAAAGAAAGAAAGTTACACATCATTTTACATTTGACAATGCTTCCTATATGAATTTAATGTATCAAATAAACTGAATATGTCTCTTTTGGTCTTTGGGGGACCTAATATCTCAAAGGGTTAATTAGGTCAAAAAAACATAATTTAAAATTTGATTATGGAAAGTTTGTCAAATATCAAAGTTTAAAACACTTGATATTACAAAATAGAATTCCAGGTCACTATAAGTCATTTATTTACCCAAAATGATAACTCAAAATTTTAAAAAGGCAAAAAACCTTTACTCATTGATAGAGGAGACTTAATTTCCCAAACAATAAGCCCTAACAAAGACAGCATGAGGCCAATTAAGTCTGTCTCTCAAATGTTGTAAACATCTATAAAATTTTAATAATCTTGACCATAAGACATAATTTCCATCAAACATCTTTGTAACCATTTATAAGTTTTTTAAAAGGCAGTTTAATGCTCCAAGAAAACCTTGTTAATCTGACACAGAGGCCCTGATGCTGGTCTTGTATCAGTTTGCCTTCAACATTAACATTTAATTTATAAAGAAACTGAATTAATTTTATCTCTCAAAATTGGCCCTTATGATTTCATGTGCCTACCTCTTCCACAATAGTCTCTAGGCCTAGAAGGGTGGAATACTTTTAATTCTTGGCCCTGTGTCTCATGAACACAGTTTGTTTTGATTATCATCTTCCCCCAAGTCTGAAGATGATGCTTTAACTACTGCCCTTGTTTAAGATTTAGCAGGACTTGATGTCCTTTTTAGACCCAAGAATTGAAGCCCTGTAACTTAATAGCATAAGGACTTTAAAAGAATTACAGAAATACTGCATGTTCTCCCTTATTAGTGGTAGCTAAATGATGAGAACTCAGTGACAGAAAGAAGGGAATAACAGACACTGGGGCCTACTTGAGGGTGAAGGGTGGGAGGAGGGAGAGGATTAGAAAATATAACTATTGGGTATGAGGCTTAGTACCTGGGTGATTAAATAAACTGTACAACAAACCTCTGTGACACAAATTTATACCAAACTTGCACACGTACCCCTGAACCTAAAACAAAAGTTAAAAGAAAAAGAAATTACCGCAGCCACCCCAACCTTCAGCAATCACAAATTTGTTTAGTCAGCAGCCATCAACATCCAGGCAAGACACTCCACTGGCAAAAAGATTATGACTCACTGAAGGCTCAGATAACTGCTAGCATTTTTCAGTAATAAAGCATTTTTAAATTTTAAATTAAGGTTAACAAATAAATAAAAGTAATACAGAAAGTTACATGGATGTAATAAACTTAATTTTAAAGAGTTTTTAAAAACCTCAGTTTTCCTAAGCAAATCAATAATAAATTTAATAATAATTAAGTTATTAAAAATAATAATAAAACTTAATAATAATTAAATAGTAATAATTTTGATAAAATGTAAAATCTGTTTGTTAGTCCAGGTACCAAAAGGCAAAAAAACAAAAACAAACAATCCCCCCCCAAAAAAACCTTCTGCACTGTGATTCCTTTCCCCTATGGGAAGTCCACTTAGATAACCTGCAAGTCAAAACTAAAGAAAATGGTATTTGAATTAGTTAGACATAGGAAGAATGTATTCTGGATCATAAGTGAAAAGTTTTAGTTTAATAGAACAATTTAAAGCCAATGCACAGGATGTTATATTGGAAGAAAACATTTGCTTTAGACATTTGAGATAAAACATTTTTAGCATCAGGCTACAACAATAGTTAGAACCTGAGGAAAACGTTATAGGAGCTGATTAAAAAGTTGAGCGTTATTACTTCAGCCCTTCTCAAAAAGGAAAGAAAGCTCAAAACAGCAAGATGCAATAAAAGTTGAACTTCTGGGTTAAAAATAAATTAAAATTTCTTCTAATTATTTTTTGTTTTGTTGTTTGAGATAGGTTCTCACTCTGTTGCCTGGGCTGTGTTGCAGTGGTGTGATCATGGCTCACTGCAGCCTTGATCTCCTGGGCTCTAGAGATCTTCCCACCTCAGCCTTCAGAGTAGCTGGGACTGCAGGTGCATGCCACCATGCTGGATAATTTTTTCTATTTTTTTTTTTTTTTGTAGAAATGGGTTTCAGTGTGTTGCCCAGGCTGGTCTTGAACCCCTGGGCTCAAGTGATCTCCCATCTTGGGCTCTCACAGTGCTGGGATTACAGGTGTGAGCCACCATGTCCAGCCCTCTTGTAATTTTATTAAGAGATAATACCTTAAGAAAATTTTGTAGTTCTAACCAATTATTTAGTGTATTAGTGTATTTTAAATATCAAAGACCAATCTCTAGAAAGACTATTATAACTAATTTTCTTTTAATTATAGCCAACTTGATCACATAAAGTTTTTTTTCCATAAAGCCTCTTTTTACAAATTTTATTGACTTACACACACCATTTATGACTTGCTTAGGTTTTTCATTTTATCCTTAACCTCCTATTCATTTTATTTTAGGACAAAAGTTTACCATATAAGATTTTTTTCATATAAAATTATTCCCCCTTCAATTTTTCTTACCCAAAGTAGCTCTTTATAGTTATAAGATTCTTTATATGTCTCTTATTTACTGGTACCTTTTGCCCTGTTTTATAAATAACCTTTACATAACCTTGAATAAGACAAAAATCATTTTCCTTTAAGAACACTTTTTTTGAGAAAAATGTTTTCTTATAATTTTTTAGATGGGAAATAACCCAGACATTTAATTAATATCTGTTATTTAATTTAATATAACTTTAGATTCTAAATTATTTGACATGTTTACTTATAAGCATTTATTCCATTATATTTACCTAATTAGTTAATTTTTAAAATAGTTTACATACATTACTTATGAAAACTGTGATAGTTATTATTTAAAGATGGGAATAATTAAGCTTAAGAGAATAACTGATAATGTACAGACAGATAATGCAAGCTCTATGAGAAACTGAGAATAGAGTAGAAGTGGAGAGACTGGCCTTTAAAGGAGCAGGAAATACTTCCTTTTTTGTATTAAGGAGGCAGTGATAGGCCTTTTCTATTGTAATAGAGAGAGTGTGGGAATGGAAAATGTGTCAGAAAAACTGTCTTGTGTCTCAACTCCTACCTATATTATATAATTTATTGAAGAAATTACTCTTTGGCACAGTTTCAATTATTCATTTATTTGACAAGTATATATTGAACTCCCCAAAGTAGAAGTTACTTTGGCAAAATAATATAATATTTCTCTCTAGGAAATTACAACCTACTTCGGAAATGGTCATGTAAACAAGCACTGAACTGCAGTTATTTAACTGTGATAATGGAGGTGTGTTCAAAGTGCTATGGGAACACAGTAAAAAGAAGGACCCATATCTGTTCAGGAGAGACTAGAAAGACTTCATGGAAATGTTTAATGAAAACTAGAAGGAGAAGCAGAATTATATTTGGGCTGGTTAAGGATAGCTATGATAATAAAAATTGCAATGCAATGATGATAAATGATGAGTCTAAGAAACCTCAGTCATATATGGGACAACACAGAAAATTACTTGTCACTTTTCTCCCTGTGGTTTATATGAATGCTTTCACATAATTGCATATTATTTTCTTAGAATTAATATTTTATTCTCATTCATAATCACAAGGCAGCTGGAGCTCCATAGTTCACCCTTCCTATAAATAAAACATTACAAGTTTTAAGTAGCTAATGGCTGGTTATGTTTTCAGAAAACATGATTAGGGTTGGGTGCAGTGGCTCACACCACAAAGTATTACCACAAAGTAATTCCAGCACTTTGGGAGGCCCAGGCAGGCAGATTGCTTGAGCCCAGGAGTTTGAGACTAGTCTGGGCAACATGGAGAAACCCCACTGCTCCAAAAAATACAAAAAATTAGCCAGGTGTGGTGGCACATGCCTGTAGTTCCAGTTACCTGGGAGGCTGAGGTGGGAGTATCACCTGAGCCCAGGAGGTGGAGGCTGCAGTAAGCCATGGTTGCACCAGTGTACTTCAGCCTGGGTGAGAGTGAGACCCTGTCTAAAAAAAAAAAAAGAAATAGAAAACATAACTAGGTTAATTTATTAATAGTGACTTCAAGCTTTTTCTTATTAGAAAATTTACACACCTTTTGTCCTTTAAAAAAAACTCAAAAATTGGCATGCATTTAACTTCACACTCTGAAGCAACTTCCTGACAGTCTTCCATGTCTACTCCAAGCAACACCATCTTGGAATGCTTTGCAGAGAGGGAATGAAAGGCTCGATTATTTTGTAAAGCTTGCAACACGTGGCTGAGAAATCAACTACTATAGGTTTGTCTCCTAGATTGTCCAAGGCCTCCTGAAAAGCATACTTGTTCTCAATATGCTTCACCATTTTGACTGTTGAGGTCTGACTAGCAACTGTAAGAATAGATAGAAATGAATCCAAAGCACCAGGCTGAGCTTTTTGCGTATTAGATCTTTGGTGGACGGTCTTTGGAGTTCTCTGTAGTAGCATATCAATGTACACACTTAAGCTTGACTACTTTTAACTCATACCCCATTTAGAAGTCTTCAGAGATAGGGAATTCAAATTGGTTTTAAAAGATGAATACCAATATCTTAGACTTTCCAAATGTAAATACTGCATTTTAGAGTTTATTCTTTGTGAAAAGACTGTTTAAGCATACTAACTATATATCCATATATCTACTTCTATACATCATACATGTATATATTTGAAATTCAGATTAAAATAATACTTAAGTATGTATGAGGTATAGTAATCAGAGTTTTCTGTTTAATCAAAATACTATTGGTTTCAACATAATTGTTGAAAATCCTCCTAAAATAAATCACTTCCCTTGATGTCCTGTTAATGCTTAATATGTGCATTAAAAATTATGTGAAAAAGTTTTTAATTAAGCACTTCCTAATTTTGTTTTGCTTGGGTTTTACTATACTTGAATATTATTATTTTTAGCTTCCCTTGGATTTCTTCTCTCTGAATAATTCGAATTTGTGTGTGTGTGTTTAGTGCATGATAATAAAAGTAATGCCATTTTGTAAATTATATTCCATGGTTAATACAGAGTTTCAGTTTTTCCATTACAATCATTCACATGCAGTAGTTTCCTCTTACATCTTCCTTCATTCTGTCTGCTTTGCTTTTCTTTCTTTATCTTCTGTCTTTTCTGCAGAGAGATGGAAGTAAGGGATGTGGCTGTAGGAAATTCTAGTCTTCATATCATATGTAATTTTATAGTCTTCTACTTTTCTTTAAACTCTAATGCCAACTTTTTATTCTCTTTTAACTTTGCTTAGTCAGAGCTTATCTGCAGGGAGCAAATTTCATTAATGAATTTCAGTTAATATACATGAAAAATGCTAATTTAATATACAACCATCAAATGTCTGGATTTGCCCTTGTTTAATGTAATTTTTATGTTTTTCAATAAGATTGATTTATTAAAATCAATTGATCTTTAGCTGTACAATTATATAGGTCTAAGACACAGATATGAATATATGCATTATGTTTATGTTCATTCATAAAGCAGAAAAATGATTTGGCTGGCTGCTTTGTAACTATATTGTATACATGGGAAATCTGACAAACTCAGGGTATGAAAATGACTGGTAGAAGGAGATTTATAGAGGAGAAGGTAGTTTGTGAATTTTGTGTTGAGGAAAGACTGCCGTGAAATCTGGAAATGACACTGTGTCTAGAAGAAAATTCATAAAACAAGGAACATTCTCTCTTGCTGTAGCAGACATTTATTGATTGATCACTCAGCATCTATTTCCCTTATAATACCCAGATTTTTCTTAGGTCTTTCATCTCTTTTATATACTTCCTATGAGTTTAGGGAGATAGTCACACTGCTGCCATATCTGGGGTAGGCCTAGATTATTTAAGATAATAAGAACATTTAGTTACCCTGGGTAGTCAGTGTTGGCTGGACTTAAGCCAACAAGTATGTTGAAACTGTCATATTTAATGCAAGTCTTGCCAGCTCCTACAGAAAAGTTTTGGAGTCAGGCAGGCACGCAGCTGAGGATGGCTGGCAACTACAAGACATCTGGCAGATATTCTAAGTACAAAGGAAAAATATCCCCAAATCTAATCCTTACGAAGTTGGATATTAAAGGTGGGAAAGTGTTCTAGAATCACAGTAATACCTGGTTAGAAAGTCATCCTGCCTTTTTCAACTGCAAGAATCATTAGTAACATGTGTTCAGGAAGCTTCATCTATGAGGTGTAAGGACTTTCACATAAAACTAGCCTTCCCTTTAACTTTAATTCTTCCTCATTGTGCAGGCTGTTGAATTAAAAACTATTAGTTCCTTACAGGACCTTTATGTGGGTGTTATATTAGAAACTCAGTCAAATTTTAAGAATTATTTCCAGGGGAAAATGAATTCCCAGTTCTAGCCACAAATGATTCATAAATGAATATTTAAAGTACAATCCATTCATAAGTTCAGAATTTACTGTAACTATGAAAGGCTTTGTAGTGTGCTAGAACGAGCACTGCTCTAGGAAGGAGTCAAGGAATATTGATTCTAATCTTGGCTTTGCCATTAATTAACTATGAGACCTTGGCAAATCCCTCCCCTGGTTCTTAATTTTCTCATTTGTAAAATGAAGAAGTTGAAGTAGATATCTAAGATTCTTCCAGTTCCAGGAATTTATAATAAATTTACCAAATTTCAGAACATGCATTTATTCAACAGTGACTTTAAAATACTAAGTTTTAAAAATATGTTTTGAAAATTATCCTAAAATCTAGGTTTGATTTTGTTCTGCTGGATCATTAAACATTATTCATAAAAGTAATTTTACCTTTGGGCATTTAATTTAACACATTAGTTAAGATCATTCTAATAATGGTACCAAGGTACAACTAAATAGGAGAAGTACTAGAGGTCATATTCAATGCATTTTTAAACTAATCTAAATTTATTTTAAATATGTTCATTTATTTTCAAATTGTTTTTATGATGCATTGATTTAAGAGAACTTTTGCTTTATACAGACACACATGCACATGCCATGCACACACACATATATAATGTTTCTTACATTGTCATTCATTCAGCCTACTTTATACTAGGTACTATGCTAGGATCCAGGGACACGAAACTTGCAGTTATTGGCTTCAAGGAGCTTATGTTCTGTTGAATGAAATAATCATGTAAACTGACAGTTGCATGGTCAGTTAACCTGTGAAATATCTGCACACACTAATAATCAGAGAAATTCTAATTAAATAGTATATTCCAGTTTTTGCACATTACAAAATTTATAATATGTAAGGCAGAGTGTGGCAAAGGGGACACTGTTGTGGAATGATTATAAATCCTACTCCTTCTTTTCCCTATTATCCTGTTTAATTTTTCTTCTTAGATACTATCAGCATCAACGTAATATATGTATATTTTATAAAATCTGTTTTCACCCGCTGGAATGAAAAGCTCCATCTGAGAAAGGATTTAAGTAAAAAGAAAAAAAAAACTTGATAAACACACACTTATCTGGGGAGGCAAAGGTACATGAAGTAAATATTTACTCCATGTAAAATTTGTATTCGTTGTTTCTTTAAGATGTATTTTATTCTCTTGTTTGAAATTTTTATATTGAGCACATATTTCTTTATTAATTAAATATGAAGGCAAATGAACAGATAGTATATCTTTTTAAGCACCATGGCCACTGTAATAAACTATGTGGGATGCTTAGGAACATCATGAAACCTAACTTTGGGGGAAGTTATGTCAGGAGGAAACACCTGAGCTAATCTTGATGAATGAATTTAATTAGCCAGGTGGAGAAAGGAAGGAAGGAGGTCAATCTCACGAGAAGAAGCAACTTATACAAGAGTCATAGAGGCATGTAAGTATAGAATATACAGAGAATTGCAGGTAATTTGCATAAGTAGAATATATAGTACAAGGAAAAGGAGACTGATATGAAGCTGTAATGGTAAGCATGGGTCAGATTCTGATAATGTATTTGCTATATTAAGAATTTCACTTTACACCACTTCAAATCTATTCCTGATAATTCTTGCTTCTGACTTTAAAGATCACTTTCCTGTAGGCAGCCACATTATAATTGTAGTTCCCACGTCTACTTTTGTTTCCTTAAAGTTTATCCTGCATAAAACAGCCAGTTACCTTTTCACCATATAGTTCCCTCTTCAGTTGTATTTACCATAATGTATTCTATCTACATACATTAAGAATGCATGAGAGAATGTTACAATTTTTGCTTTAAAAGATCAAACACACTTTAAACAACTACAGAAGACAAGAAGACTTTGTTATATTTACTGAGATGCTTAACATTTCTGTTGTTCTTCCTTCATTCTCCATGCTACAGGCATCTTTTGGGTATTATTTTCCTTTTGTCTGAAGAAGTTCCTTTAATGATTCTTTTAGAACAGATCTGCTGGCAACACATTTTTTAGTTTATTATCCATCTGAGAATATTTTATCTTAATTCCTAAAAGACATTTTCTCTGAATATGGAATTCTGGGTTGAAATTATTTTCTTTCAGCACTTTATAAATGTTGTTTCACTTCCTTCTGGCCTCAATGAGACAGCTGCAGTCATTAGAATAAATGTTTCCCTATAAGTAATACATCATTTTTCTTTGGCTTTTTTCATGATACTTTCTTTGTCTTTAGTTTTCAGCAGTTGGAATAGGATGGCTCTGGGCATGATTTTGTTGTTGTTGTTGTTATTTTTCTGTTTGGGTTTGCTGAATTTTTTGAATCTGTAGCTTAATGTCTTTTCTTCACATTTGGGTTATTTTCAGCCCTTATTTCTTCAAGGTTTTTAAAATTAACATATTCTTTCTTGTCTCTGTGACTAAAATAACAGAATATTAGCTCTTTCATTATCGCACCACATGTTCCTGAGGTTTCTCAATCATTTTTCCCCTGCTTTTCAGATCATATACCATAGTTCCCCCTTATTCTCAGGGGTTACGTTCCAAGACCCCTCATGGATATTTGAAAGGCAGACAGTATCAAACCCTGTATAGACTATGTGCACATTTCCTTTTCCTTCTTTACAATTTCACAAATAGAACATTCATTCTTACTGTAATCTTAGTAATCTCGGCATATGATTTATTTCATTTCTTTATTAAATTGAAAACTTTCACCTTATTAAATCAAGTTTAGCCTAAAGCTGCATCCTTATATAATCTAAGTTCAGCCTAAAGGGTTCTCTGTACATTGTGAACTATAACAAGTGGAGATGTAACAGACCATAGCCTATACTTGTGCCAATCACCGAGCTTTGGCCAATCAAATGTAGCCAGCTATTCAAACCATGTTCAAATAAGGCAAACACCAACAGTAACTGATCCAGCTGTTTCTGCACCTCACTTCCGATTTCTGTAAGTTACTTTCCTTTTTCTGTTCATAAATCTTCTTCCACCACATGGCTATGCTGAAGTCTCTGAGCATACCCTGGCTTGGGATGCTTTCCAATTTGTAAAGCATTCATTGCTCAATTAAACTCTTCCAAATTTAATTCAACTGAAGTTTTTATCAACCTTTTCACTTAAAAGAAGCACCTGATGGCTTCTCTTTTGCATATCCGAATTGCCGGCATTACTACTTGTACCTTGGGAACAATAGTAAATAAATAAGGGTTACTTGAATACAAGCTCTGCTATACCACAACAGTTGATGTGACAACAATTATGGCCACTAAGAGACTAATGGACACGTAGAATACACAGTGTGGATATGCTTTGAGAAAGGGATGATTTCATGTCCTGAGTGGGACAAAGTGGGATGGTGTGAGATTTCATCATGCTACTCAGAACCACACATGTTTTAAAAGTTGTGTATTGTTTCTTCTGGTATTTCTATTTAATATTTCAGATTGCAGTTGACCATGGGTAAGCAAAACCTTGCATAAGGGGGGACGATGATAATTTCTATTGTTCTATCTTCAGTAGTTTTTTTTTTTGTCCTCTCTATTCTGCTACTGAGCCCAACTAGTAAGATTTAAAATTTGTTATTGCATCTTTTAGTTCTAAAATATCCATCTAGTTCTTCTTTATATTTTCTATAATCATTCCTCCCTATCTGCAGAAGATTGGTTAAGATCCCCCTGTGGATACCAAAATCTGTGCATACTCAAGTTCCACAGTCAGCCCTGTGGGACCCTCAGATACAAAAAGGTGGCCTTTGTATGCTCAAGTTTCACATTCCATGAATATTGTACTTTCAATTCATGTTTGACTGTGGATATGGAATCTGCCAATACAGAGAGCTGACTGTATTTATTGAAAAATATCCACTGTGTGGACTCATGCAGTTCAATCTTTTGTTGTTCAAATATCAACTGTATTTTATTTCAAGATTTCAAGATTTTGTATCTGCACTCTTTCCTGTACTTTCCTGTTTCCTGGGGCTCCCCTCATTAGTCCTCTTACTGTATCTTTATTACTCCACTCTGACACGCACTTCTTGTGACTCTCTCCACATCTGGTACAAAGCAACAAGATAATAAGAGTGTGTTAGTACATGTTCTCACTGTTATAAAGAACTGCCTGAGACTGGGTAATTTATAAAGAAAAGAGGTTTAATTGACTCACAGATCTGCATGGCTGGGGAGGTGTCAGGAAACTTACAATTCTGGTGGAAGGGGAAGCAGGCATGTCCTACAGGGTGGCAGGTGAGAGAGAAGACCAAAGGAGGAACTTCCAAACACATATAAAATCATCAGATCTCTTGAGAACTCACTGACTGTCATGCGAACAGCATGGGGGAAACCATCCCTGTGATCCAATCACCTCCCTCCCTTGACCTGTGGCATTACAGGTCCCTCCCTAGACACGTGGGGATTACAATTCAATATGAAATTTGGATGGGGACACAGGGCCAAACCATTTCAAAGAGGGTGGGGAAAAATTACCTTACTTCCTTTAATTACAGCTCCTGTGACTGGAAATGAAAGTTTTCCTCCCTTAGAGTTTTCAGCCCTTGTACCTCCCAATGCTACCTCAGTCATGGTCTTTGAGCCACTGTTGGATTGCTTGGGGGCAGGGACATGAGAGAATGGAGAACAAGAAAGAAAAATGGAGTTCCTGCATTCTCTGAGTGTTGGGAGATTGCTTTTCCACTCCTTGAGCTTCTTAAGCCAGAACTGGAGGAATTCTCCTGGCACTTTATCTGTTTACAATCAAATTCTATTTCCAGATTTCCTGCTGAATTGAGTCCAGGACAGGAGATGCTAGAGTAAAATAAAAGTTAAAACTCACTGCCCTTTCAGTGGTACTTTGATATCTGATTTTCTTCCCAGTCTCCTTGCCACTTACTTTTCAGAGTTCTCAAACAGCTGCTGGATGCATCTGTTCAGGTTTTATACCTGTATTAGGTACAATAGTGAATTACTAATAAATAGTTCCTTGATTATTGAGTGAGAGGATATCATAACTTATCAAATAAAGAATTTTTAAATGAATTTTTTGCCAATAATTTTTTATGAGGGAAAATTGAATTTCTCTCTTGTAAAATTCCTTTTCTAGATATTAAGATAATTGTTCTTTGTTATTCTGAAAGAAATAATCTTCACATTGCTGTTTAGTTCTCATAGTATTTGCTGCAGGCTCAGTATGTAATTGATTTTTTAAATATTTTTACATTTTTCTACATTCTTATTTGTAGATCTTTGTATTCAAATAATTCAAAATTTAAAAAAGCTTCAGTGTTTCTGCAGAAATAATAAAACTGTTACACTATGTAGCAAAAATAATAACCACAGTACAAAAATACCCTATCAATTAAATCATCCCAACCATTTTAGTAGTGTTTGTTCTTTAAAAAATTTAAATATAATATATAACATTTTGTGTGTTACTACACTTGTTTCCTTTTTCCTTAAAATTAATAGGTTCATTTTTATACTTGAAAATAAATTTAAAAATAAAATTATTCACAATGAAATTCTTGGATAATCAGACACAAGGACTAAAAATCTTTTTTAGTCTTATATTAAGAGAAGTTATTTATAACTGAAAAACTACTATTCAAGGCATATGTTAACTATTAAAAAATAGAGGGGAAAAATAAAGTGTTCATATGTACCAAATAATGATCAAAATGCTAACTTATTCATAGGTTGTCTCTTCATAAAACATGGTTATGGTACAGTTACAAGCAATTGCAATGGGGTTATATTGCAGTTGGCACTTTAAAGCTCATGAACTTTTAATGTAATTCTATCTTCACTGCACACTGGAGAATTTAGACATTGGGTTTCAGTTATTAGAAGTAATTCTAAATATAGGAAACATGGTATCATGGACACTATAAAATGAACTGCTAGACTCTGAGAATCAGGCTTGGATAGAAATGGGTCTAGCATATTTGCCTTTCTCTGTCACCATAATGAAAATGTATTTAGGTTGGATGTCTACTTCCTAGAAGCCTAAGCTTCTAATAGGCATACATTTCCTAGGGGCCATAACATCAATCCTTTTTAAGATTCTTTAGGAGTGCCTATCAAGAAATGACAAATTTCTTAAAAGAAATCTAGTTTAAAAACTAGATATTTTTGACTCTTTTGTAAGTCATCACTCCTATCTAAGTGCTCTTTCATTACTTCAATAAATATTCGTTGACTGCCTACTATGTTCTGGTAACTTTGTTAGATCTGGGTCTATATTAGTCAGGAAAATACAGTTTCACTCCAAGTTACAGTCTAGCAAGAAATACAAGCCAATAAAATAAGGTTTAATTGTTGCTCTGATAAAAGAGGTATACGATTTGTGGAGGTATATTGGAGGGACATTTAGCTCAAAGAAGGCCTAGGATAATATTCAACACCAAGTATGAATCAACCACGTGAAGAGGTGTTAGAAACGCTTTTTGCCTTGTGAGAAACTCTGTATAAGGGCCTCCCCTGAGACTTGTAGCCTGTAAATCGTGATGCTTTATGGTCCCACTTCAAGGTTATTTTGTCTCTTCTAAAGAGTGAGTGCCCAGCAAAATTTATACTTTTTCTCTACGTTAAATAATGCTGAGGTTCTAATTAATACAAAATTCTGATCAGATACAAATGAATAAAAACAGTGATCAATCATAAAGAAACGTTAATGTTCTCATACATTGCTGTCAACTACTAATAAATAATTTTATATGTATATTGTCTCCTAGGCCAATCATATTACAATGCTTCTTGATGGCATCTGTTAACAGCTTACCTTCACTGTTATCTTGTCTGACAGCAGATCCATTTATATATTTGCTTGTCTTACCATTTTATTTCCAGTTTCCTTCCACATTTCTTATTCTTTAGGGATCATTCTGCCCTTGTGAAATATAAATACCATCTCTGTTAAATTCATTACTCATTTTATCCTCACTTTTCCAGACAAATCACCATGGCTTTGAAGTGTAGAATATATTATTTTAATTTCTCTGCTAGCTTGCTCTCAGATAACTTTTGTTTTCTTTTCCTCCTCTTGTCATTGGAAGTTACATTTCTGAGTGCATGCCTTCAAGTTAATTTCTGAATATTCTTCTATAGCATAGTAAGAGAAAAACAATCTTGTTTGGCTGGCCAATGGTGATGAATGGAGTGTAGACCAGCCTATAGAGTCCAAAGCCTTCAAGAGAGAAAGAGCAAGAATGAAAGGTGGTGGTATAACTAAATATTTTTGTAATCATGGACAAAATGATTTGGGATCATGATAATTTACTTCAGGTTATTTGCAGGTGAACTTCAGACTTCTGTGAGTGACAGCACATGGGGTCCTAGATGCTCTGATGGAGAACCTGGGTGTTACAAAATGTATGAGTAGGTGGGCTTCTATTAAATGGAGTACTTAAAGAAGAACTACTCAAGTTGCCCAGGTTGTGCTTGAATGGACACAGTCTCAAGAATGCAGTGAGCTCGAGTGTTAATATATGCCAATGACAGTCCAATGACTGTAGTTTCCATGAAAGGCCATATTGTGTCTATCAATAAATGCTGTAGAATAAGTGAAGAAATATGACATGAACTGCAATACTCTGCTCTTTCACAAAAGGCAACCTTATCTGCCACTTTAGAGAGAGTGAGATTGTACTATCATACAAAAGAAAATAAAGATTGTACCTCTATAGGTTCTTTATGTGTATTTGTGGTTGAGTGGGTAGTTTAGGGGCAATTTTGGAGAGGTAAATACTTTGGATAGCATTTGACTCCTATATACATGGAATATTTTACAGAACATTATAATCTAAGGAGATTTGTCAACTTTAAAATCAAGAGGTCATAAGGAATTATAAAGAGCTAAATTTACGTTGCATTTATTACCATGAAACCATCTATTACTAACAGAAAGCAGTAAGTAAGAATACTCTATAATTAATGGTCTAAAACTGAAAATGATGGACTAGCTTTTTCACTGAAAGCAATTTCTATTCTGTTACTCAATTACTCAGTTGCTTAATTTTAAGATTTTATTATGTCTTTAAATCATGATTAATACAGGAAATATGATGCTTTTCTACTTCCTAACCACTGCTTATCCAAGCATCCACAATCTTTTATAATACTGTTTTGTACTACCATATTTATTTTAAAATGAAAAGTACTGGATTTTTTATTATAGTGACAGAATCTTACTGTGGTAGTTGAATAAAGCAACATTTACTTAGGTCAAAGAATTAGAATATTAATATACATTGATATTGAGATGTACATATTTTTGAAAAATTTAATGACAGCAATACTAAAGAATTAGAAATAATTTTTACAATCATAAGTTCAATGTTCTAGAAAATTCATATTGAAAATTGCTTAATATTTTTATTATGAGGTTTTTAGGAACATTTTCTTGTTGATAATATAAAATATAGCAAAGAGAACTCAGAGATTCAGAATTTCCCAGGATCACATCCCTGACTTAATGCAATTCAATTCAAAAGACATATGCAGACATACAGCTCTAAGAAATATGTGTGATCTGGTAGTTGTCTGTAAAGAATGCACACTTTAACAAAAAAGGTGGGATAACTTCAATACAATGCTGTGTTTGGTGCTTTGATAATGGCATGAACAGCATTCACATAAGAGGAAACTTAACATTAGCTGGATGGAACATGATATTTTTCTAGGACCAGCTTCCTGGCTTATAAAAGAGCACAGTTTAGGGCTCTTCACTATATACTCTCTAAAATCCAGAATAATATTGAGGAATAACTGGTGTACCCTGGGAGATAAGAGTGCTTACCCTGGAAGTTTGGGTGGTTTGGAAGGCACTGGCAGATGCCTTCATGCCACAGAAGTAACTCCAGAATAGGGCACCATGATTATAATTGAGGGACTGCAATGCTAACCAACCCCATGGTGACATGGTGACTCAGCATCTCTATAATGTTCTTGTTGAGGTAGGACCCTCAGATAGGTACTCTTGTGGAGATAGTGAACCTCTCCTCTTCACCTTCCTTCCCATTACTTCAGTCTCCCAAAGACAAGGAAAAGTGAATCTGGTACAATGAAGCAGTGAGAGTAGAGAACCTAAGAAAAAATAGAGATGATATATTAATCAACTAAGAATTATGTTATGACATGTGTATACTCAGTTTTACCTGTGCCAAATGCGGAGGAACTCCCTAGATGCCAGGGAGATGAGTTTTAGAGAAACGGTGAGGAGAAGAGCTCCTCTTACAGCAGCAGCAGAAGAAGGCATGCTGGTATTGGGCTCTCTAATCCAGCAAGGTTTACCTCACTGGCCTGGGGGTAGCAAACAAAGTGTCTATCTTGATGTTTACCTAGAGTTATAGGCACAAGTACTGGACTTGTGTGTTGAAAGGGTGTACCATGGCCTAGTTCCAATCAGGTATCAGGTAAAGTTGGAGAGAGTAACCTGGGCTTCTTAGGACCAAAATGAAGATTAAAAAAAAAAATTCTTTTTTTAAAGGGGCCTTGTCTCAGGCATGGATTTTCCTAAAACTGGGAGGTTTGGTTCTCTATAAACTCCAACTTCCTGGAAATAATACTTTGTATATCCTAGAATAATAGTATAAGGCATCCTGAAAAATGTGACTCTGAAGGCATTGACCGATTGTTGCTGGTGGTGAAAGTAGGTGCTGTGGAACATTCTAGATGTATAATATTTAATCAAGTTATTGGAGAGGTCAAAAAATTACACAAGGGCACAGGTGTAGTTTGGCTTGGTGCTAATGGGCAAGTGGAAGTTCACATTGATATTTATCTTACAATATTTTTGACTTTTGTACCATCAACTTGAATGAAAATTATTATAATTAGAAATAAGCACATGATAATATAAAACATGTAAAAAGTACAGAAGAACTCTAGGGAAAGGAGATTGCTGATGAAGCTAGAATTAAGAAAAATTTCTTATAGAAGGTTAATCCTTTCTGGAGGGTTGTAATAGATGCAGATTGACGTCTGTGTTTTAATTTGTATTGAGCAGCTCATTTAACCTTGTCAAAGGCTTTTCACCTTGAGCATCTCACTTTATCTAGACAAAATTTCAATAGCAGTTACCATAATAATTGGAGTAATAAAGAAACTAAGCCATAAAGAAGTTAAATATCATCTAAGGATACATTTGATTAGCTGGATATCTGAGACTTGAGGCCAAATCCCCAGTGTTCTGGTCCATAGGATGTCTTCTCTTTCCTATTTTATCCCTGATAATGTAAGTAACAAGGAATAGACTAGAAAAATATGGATAATTCTAATAATTTTGCTATTAATTTAAAAGCACAAATTAGTTAAGCTATTACAGTAATTACACAAAACCCAATTATGACCAAATCCCAAGAAGTTAAGGAAAAATGAATTCTTATCAAAGATCAGGTCAACTTGGTCCTTGGTCAGATAAAGTATACTAAGCAAGTGTTTTCCTTTTTTTTTTTTTTTTTTTAAGACAGAGTCTCACTCTGTCACCCAGGCTGTAGTGGTGCAGTGGTGTGAACTCGGCTCACTGCAATCTTGGCTTCCTGAGTTCAAGCGATTCTCTTGCCTCAGCCTCCTGAGTAGCTGGCACCACAGGTGCAAGACACCATTCCCGGCTAATTTTTGTGTTTTTAATAAAGATGGGGGTTTCACCATGTTGGCCAGTCTGGTCTTGAACTCCTGACCTCAAGTGATCCACCTGTCTCGGCCTACCAAAGTGCTAGGATTACAGAAGTGAGCCACCACGCCTGGCCTGCAAGTGCCTTTTCTTAAGGCAATGCAATATCAGCTTTTTAAACTTCTCCTCATGAAACTCCATATAGACAATTTGTTTTGTTGACCAGCAGCCAGATCTAAGTGATGTGTTGAGGTGTTTTCCCCATCCTTTTGCCATGATGTGTCTGGAAATAGAACCGGATGTGATGCTGTGGTCCTGGGCTCTCATTTCTGAGGCCAGGAAGTGTTAGAGAGGGGTTAGGTTATTAGCGATTAACTCTAGGTGTTTCTCAAAAGCAAGGAGGGAGCTTTGCCCACCACTAATTCTTCCACATGTGGTTATTGCCTATCATAAGTTACTACTTCTAGGCTAATTAAAAATGGCTTGTATGCCAAGCAAAATTACTGTCACATTTCACACTTTATTCTCCTTCTGGTTTGTTTTCTTTAGGATTTCAAAATTAGAAATCCCTTCTTGAATTACAGTCTTTTCTTCTTTCTCCCCATATCCTCCCACACTTTTGCTTCTTTTGAGTTTGTACTTCATCTTTGGCTCCAGATATTTTAATTACTAGATAACAAGTATTATAATTTTAGAAAATAGAGATAAAAGATACAGTTTCAGCCATCAAGGAGCTCACAGTCTAGCATGACTGGCAAGAAAGGAATCAGAAAATGACAATACTGTGTGGCAAAAGTTATGTTAGAAATTATTGCTGGTTCCATGTCTCTTTTTAGTAGTATGATCTTGGTTAACCATATAAAACACAAGCAGAGATTTGAGACTAAGTAGAAAAAGCCCCAGTGTATTAAGTTTCTATTGCTACATAACAAATTACCCCAGAATTCAGTGGCCTAAAAAACCATTTATTAGTTGGCATTTTCTGTGGGCCAGGAATTTGGACCTGAATTAGCTGGGTCCTCTGACTAACAATGCTTTCATCAACCTTGAGGCTGTAGTCATCACAAGGTTTGTCTGGGCTGGATCTGCTCCCAGGCATACTCAGGTAGTTGTTGGCAAGATTCAGTTCCTTGCGAGTTCTTGGACTGAAGGCCTTAGTTCTTTGCTGCTATTGTTTGGAGGCTGCCTTCAGCTTTTATCAGGTGTGCCTCTCCGTAGGGCGGCCCACAACAGGGCAGCTGGCTTCATCCAGGTGAGCAAGTATAAGTATGCAAGAGAGAGTGCAAGCAAGCAAGGAGTCATAGTTTTCTAACCTAATCTCAGAAGTGTCATCCATCACGTTTACCATATTCTATTTGTTAGAAGCAAGTCACTAGGTTCAGCCTATACTCAAAAAATAAGACATCACCCAAGGGAATAAATAACAGGAGGTAAGGATCACTGGGGGCCATTTTGGAAGCTGCCTATCACACCCAGAATAAAAAAATCTATCAAAATATCCTTAAACTTTTTCTAAAAGAAGATAAGAGCGTATTTTTCAGGCCTAAAAGTAGCTTATAGTTAATTATTGAATTGACAAATTATCTAATTTCTCCTTAGGTGCAGAATGTACCAGATTGTATGCAGCCAAAAGGGTTAAACAAAACTGAAGCATGAAGAGGTGCAAAGCACCTCGCATTTATTAGGTCTATATACAAGAAACTGTGTTGGCTGCCTCCATACACTTTGTTTCAGTTAACCTTCAAAAAATGTTGCATGAAATAGGGAGGCAGCCTATCTTAGTGGCAGGGCTGTTTCACAGAGCTATACAGGTTGTACCCTGAAGAACAACAAAGCCATCTCTGACAGTGTGAGCAATACATCTTGGATTTTCCTCTTAGTGGCCCATGTTTCCTTGGGTCTGGAATCAGTACTTTTTTACTAGTGCTGTGACCTTCACAAGTTGCTTAACATCTCTAAGCCTTAGTTTCTTCATTTCTAGGATAAGGAAGTCATAATATTAATGAACTCTGAGGACTGCTATGAGGATAAAATGGGATCATCATCATCATCATCATCACTTACTCAATGCGTACTACAATCCTGGCACTCCTCTAAGTGTTACAAATATATTAACTCCAACAATAACTCCAGAAGGTAGGTATTTTTATGATCTCATTTTTACCAATGAGGAAAATAAGACATGGAAAGTCAAATAATCTGTATATGGTCACAGAGATAGGAAGTGGTCTGACTCCAAAGTCTGAGTTTTTAATCTCACTATACTATTTCTCATCATTGTGGAGTCGATGCTGTGGTACAATATCTGACAATTAGTACATATTAAATATTAGCTTTTAATTCTATACCCATTTTACTAATAGGAAAACAAAGAATTATAAGTGGTTAATAACTTACCTAAAGAGTAATCCTGACCTTAAATAAGCGACCCAAGATTTTAAACCACATATGGCTGGATTCAAAGCACATGGCATTCTTAGTTTTGCTTTATTTTATACAGAATGATTATGCCAATCATGATGTGATCTTTGTCTAAAGGTAAACAGCTCTACATGACTCGCCCCTCAGGGCATTGCTACATTGTAGTGCAATGCAAACCCTGAAGTTTATAATAATGATTCAAGACCATCAAGAAAAAGATAAATTTTATAAATTTTATATAATATACTTTTATATAATATACTTTCTGTAAGAAGGACTGAAAGTGTATGACATATTTTAGATTTCCTTCAAATTAAAATAAAGTCAGTTCACTCATATAGTGGGTAAGCTTCAGCTACCTGAAAAATTGATCGATGTTGAGTACCTTATTCCTGGGCGATATCAGTGAAATGAAGTGTGGCTATATAAAATGAGGGATAGTGAATGCAATAGCTTTGGATATTTAGTTACAAAATGAACCACAACAGTCTTAATTCAGTTTCTGCATCAAACTGTGAACAGAGAATGTTCTGCAACCCATGAAAATAATCATGTTTAAAGAATGTGATCTACAAAATGTGTTCAATTTTTAAAAAGCCATATATATCCATCTAACTATACCTTTTCCATATACATACATCTGATGAAATTATCAATTATGCACTTTTCTTTATGCAGCTGTTATCAAATAATAGAAAATAGAGCTGTTAAATGAAGTGTTATTTTGTAAACAAAACAAGCATTTTACCTGTGAAAACATATGAACCACCAGCAAAGGAATGTGATATTATAAATTCATTATTTTCAGCCTAAATGGGGCTGTCAACACTAGTTAGTTGAGGTAAAAAAGAAGTCTTTAATATCTCTGTAATGATCATGCTAGCCTCATCTTACAAAATATCTAAATTAACCTCTCTTGATTTTCCACCCATCTTCCTGGCTTCTCTGCTTTAAGTGTTTTTTGGAGTTTGTCTTTCTTTTTACTTTATTCATGTCCTGATGATAATATTTAGTTTCACACTGTTGAAAATGTTCAGGTGCTGATTTGTTGGCATGCACACTGGAGTGCAGACGCTGCTGCCACTGCCTCAATGGAAAGCTTTGGCTGGCACCTCCCATTGGAGTGTTTTTGTCAGCAGACCAGGAATACCTCAGCCCCTCCAGTGCAGCAGGTGCTTAACCTTGAGGGGCCAAAGAACAAAGCACTGGGCCTAATACCAGTTCCCTAGGGCTAGAGCATGCAGCCCAGGAGTGCTGAGGTGAGTCTTGAGCCCCTGAAAATCTATCAGAAACAAAGCCAGTCAACTGAAGTTAGCTTATACCACAGTCAAATCCTCAAGGGCCTTAAATAATGTAAAAGCAAAAAAAACCCACCCAAAGGGCAGCAACTTCAAAGATTAAAGGAACATGAGGCTACACAGATGAGAAAGAACCAGCACAAGAACTCTGGCAACTCAAAAAGCCAGAGTATCTTCTTACTTCCAGGTGATTGCACTAGTTCCTTGGCTATGGCTCTTAACCAGGCTGAGATGGCTGAAATGACAGACATAGAATTCAGGATTTGGATAGAAACAATGATCATCAAGATTAAGGAGAAAGTCAAAACCCAATTTAAGGAATCTAGGGAAACTGATAAAATGATACAAGAGCTGAAATACAAAATAGCCATTTTAAGAAAGAACCAAACTGATCTGATGGAGCTGAAAAACTCACTATATGAATTTCAGAATACAATCACAAATATTAATAGCAGTATAGACCAAAGTGAGGAAAGAATCTGAGAGCTCAAACACTGGTTCTTCAAATCAACTCAGTCAGACAAAAATAAAGAAAAAAGAGTAAAAAGAATCAACAAAACCACTGAGAAAGATGGAATTATGTAAAGAGACTAAATGTGTGACTTATTGGTATCCCTCAAAGAGAGGAACAGAAAGAAAATTTCCTCAACTTTTCTAGAGAATTTGACAAATTTAGGAAATGTAGAGAATCCCTGTGAGATACTACACAAGACAACCATCCCCAAGACACATAGTCATCAGATTCTCCAAGGTCAATGTGAAAGAAAAAATAAAAGCAGCTAAAGAGATGGGGCAGGTCACCTGCAAGGAAACCCCATCAGGCTAACAATGGACCTTTCAGCAGAAACTCTACAAGCCAGAGGAGACTGAGGGTCTATATTCAGCATTCTTAAAAAAAGAAATTCTAACCAAGAATTTTGTATTCAGCCAAATTAAGCCTTATAAGCAAAAGAGAAATAACTTTCTTTTTAGACAAGCAAATGCTAAGAGAATTTGTTACCACCAGACCAGCCTTACAAGAGGTTCTTAAGGGAGTGCTAAACATGGAAATGAAAGACTGTTGCTGGCCATCACAAAAGCACACTTAAGTACACAGACTGTTGACACTATAAAGCAACTTTACAATCAAGTCTGCATAACAACCAGCTAACAACATGATGACAGGACCGAATCCACACATATCAATAATAGCCTTGAATGTAAATGAGCTAAATATCCCAATTAAAAGGCACAGAGTAGCAAGCTAGATAAAGAAGGAAGATCCAATTTTATGCTGTCTTCAAGAGACCCATCTCACATGCAATGACACCCATAGGCTCAAAGTAAAGAGATGGAGCTAATTTCAGACAAACAGACTTTAAATCAACAACAATCAGGAAAGACAAAGAAGGTTATTACATAATGATAAAGGGTTTAATTCAACAAGAAGACTTAGTTATTCTAAATATATATGCACCAGACACTGAAGCATCCAGATTCATTTAAAAAAGTTATTAGATGCCTATGAAGAGACTTAGAGACTTAGATAATCACAGAATAAGTGTGGGAGACTTCAACACCTCACTGACAGAACTAGATAGATCATCATGACGGAAGACTAACAAAGATATTCAGGACCTGAATTCAACACTTGACCACATGGATCTAACAGATATCTACAGAACACTCCACAGAACAACCATAGAATATACATCCTTCTCATTTGCACGTGGCACATACTCTAAAACTGCTCACACAGTCACCCATAAAATAATTCTCAACAAATTAAAAAAACCCAAAATCATAACAACCACACTCTTGGACCACAGTGCAATAAAAAGAGAAGTCAATACCTAGAATATCTCTCAAAATCATACAATTACATTGAAATTAACCTACTCTTGGATGACTTTTGGGTAAACAGTTAAATGAAGGCAGAAATCAAGACATTATTTGAAACTAATGAAAACAAAGATACAACATATAAGAATCTCTGGGATGGGCCAGGTGTGGTGGCTCATGCCTGTAATCCCAGCACTTTGGGAGTCCAAGGTGGGCAGATCACTTGAGGCCAGGAGTTTGAGACTAGCCAGGGCAACATGGTGAAAGTCTATCTCTACTAAAAATACAAAAATTAACTGGGTGTGGTGGCGCATGCCTGTAATCCCAGCTACTTGAGAGGCTGGGGCATGAGAATTTCTTGCAAAGGTTGCAGTGAGCTGAGATCACACCACTGCATTTCAGTCTGGGTGACCGATCGTGACTCTGTCTAAAAAAATAAGAAAGGAAAAAAAAAAAAATCCCTGGGACACAGCTAAAACAGTATTAATAGAAAAGTTAAGAGCAATCCCAAACTAACAACCTAACACCACACCTAGAGAAACTAGAAAAACAAGACAAATCAACTTTAAAGCTAGCTAGAAGAAAAGAAATAACAAACATCAGAGCTAAATTGAAAAAAGATCTAAATAAACACTATTAGAAATGACAAAGGGGACATTACTGTCAAACCCCACAGAAATAAGAAAAAAAAACCCTCAGTTACTGTTACAAACACCACTTTGCACACAAACTAGAAAACTTAGAAGAAATGAATAAGTCCCTGGAAACATACAACCTCCAAAGATTGAACCAGGAGGAAATTGACAGCCCGAACAGACCAATAACAAGTTCTGAAATTGAATCAGTAATGAAAATCATACCAACACAAAAAGCCCTGAACCAGACAGATTCACAGCTGAATTCTACCAGATGTATAAAGAAGAGCTGGTGCCAATCCTACTAAAAATATTCCAAAAAATTGAGGAGGAAGGACTCTTTCCTAACTCATTCTATGAGCTCAGCATCATTCTGATACCAAAACCTGGCAAAGACACAACAACTACAACAAAAGAAAACTTGGGGCCAATATATTTGAGGAACATAAGTACAAAAATCCTCAACAAAATACTAGCAAATAAAATCCAGCAGCATATCAAAAAGATAATCCACCGTGATCAAGTAGGCTTTATTCCTGGGATGCAAAGTTGCTTTAATATACAAAAATCAATAAATGTGATTCACCACATAAACAGAAAGAAAAACCAAAATCACATGATTATCTCAATAGATGAAGAAAAGGCTTTCTATAAAATTCTAGATCCCTTCATGTTAAAAACTCTCAACAAACTAGGCATTGAAGGAATATACCTCAAAATAGTAAGAACCATCTATGACAAACCCGCAGCCAATATCATATTGAATGGGCAAAAGCTGGAAGCATTTATCTTAGAACCGGAAAAGACAAGGATGCCCATTCTCACCACTCCTATTCAGCATAGTACTGGAAGTCCTAGACAGAACAATCAGGCAAGAGAAAAAAATAAAATTATCCAAATAAGAAAAAAGGAAGTTAAATTATCTTTGTTCATCAATGACATGATTGTATACTTAGTAAACCTAAAGACCCTCCAAAAGACTCCTATTCCTGACAAACAACTTTAGTAAAGTTTCAGGATACAAAAATCAGTAGCATTCCTTTACACCAACAATATGCAAGCTGAGAGCCAAATCAAGAATGCAATCCCATTCACAATAGCCACAAAAAATAAAGTACCCAGGAATACAGCTAACTAATGCGGTGAAAGATTGCTACAATGAGAATTATAAAATACTGCCAAAAGAAATCAGAGACCACACACAAAAAATGGAAAAACATTTCATGCTCATGGATAGGTAGAATAAATATTGTTAAAATGGTCACACTGCACTAAGCAATTTACAGATTTCATGCTATTTCTAGCAAACTACTAATGACATTTTACACAGAATTAGAAAGAACTATTCTGAAATTCATATGGAACCAAAAAAATCCTGAATAGCCAATGCAATCCTAAGCAAAAAGGACAAAGCCAGAGGTACCACACTACCTGACTTCAAGTTACACTACAAGGCTACAGTAACCAAGACAGCATGGTACATGTACAAAAACAAACACAGACCGTTGCAACAGGTTAAAGAACCCAGAAATAAAGCCACATACCTACAACCATCTGATTTTCAACAAAGTCAACAGAAACAAGTAATGGAGAAAGGACTCCCTATTCAGTAAATGGTGCTGTGCTAACTGGCTAGTCATATGCAGATTATAGAAACTGGACCCCTTCCTTCATTATATGCAAAAATCAACTCAAGATAGATTAAAGACTTAAACGTAAATTCAAAAACCATATAAAGCCCTGGAAGAAAACCTAGGAAATATCATTCTGGACATAAACATTGGCAAAAATTTCATAATGAAGATGACAAAAGCAATTGCAACAAAAACAAAAATTGACAAGTGCAACTAATTAAATGAAAGATCTTCTGCATAGCAAAAGAAACTATCAAGAGTGAACAGATAACCTACAGACTGGTACAAAATATTTTCAAACTATGCATTCAACAAAGTTCTAATGTCCAGAATCTATAAGAAACTTAAACAAATCAACAAGCAAAAAAATAAGCAACCGCATTACAAAATGGGCAAAGGATGTGAACAGATACTTCCCAAAAGAATACATACACATATCCAGCAAGCATATGAAAAAATGCTCAACATCACTAATCATTGTAAAAATGCTAATAAAAACCACAATGAGATGCCATCTCAGACCAGTCAGATTAAAAAGGAAAAAAAAATAACAGATACTGGCAAGGTTGGGGAGAAAAGGGAATGCTTATACACTGCTGGTGGGAATATAAGCTAGTTCTGCCATGGTGGAATGCAGTTTGGAAATTTCTCAAAGAACTTAACAATTGACCCAGCAATCCCTTATGGGTTATATACCTAAAGGAAAGTAAATCATTCTACCATAAAGACACAAGCATGCGTATGTTCATTACAGCACTATTTACAGTAGCAAAGACATGGATTCAACCTAAATATACAATAATGGACTGGATAAAGAAAATGTGGTACCTAAAATCATAGAATACTACACATTCATAAAAAAGAATGAGATCATGTCCTTTGCAGAAACATGGGTGGAGCCAGAGACCATTATCCTCAGCGAATTAATGCAGGAACAGAAAACAAAATACTACATGTTCTCGCTTATAAGTAGGAGCTAAACATTGAGTATACAATCTAACAAAGCAACTAAGAAGGGAACAATAGGCACTGGGGCCTACATGAGGGTGGAAAGTGGGAGGAGAGTAAGTATCGAAAAACTACTTGTCCAGTAGTATGCTTAGTAGCTGGGTGACGAAATAATCTGTATACTACATCTCTGTGACACACAACTTACCTATATAACAAACCCACACATGCACCTCCTGAACCTAAAATAGAAGTTGGAAGAAAAAATAAAATAAAATGAATAAATTTCTCATGTCCTCTACTTCCCTTCCCTAAAACAAACCCAGTTAAGAAAAAAAAAAAAGAGAAATTGTTAAGAAGGTAGTTTAATAAATTGGATTCAGCATGTGGCCATTGTAGTCAGAACTATTTTAGATACCTGTTCTGTTAGGAAGTGAAGCAGAGTCCTTAAATTCTTTAAATTTTCACTTTCCTTCTAAGTAAAATGGGCCCAAAGTGGTTGGTTTTTCAGACCCACCTCGTAAGATTGTGCGAAAGATTAAATTATATAATTCATATAAAACTCTCAGTAAAGTACCAGTCAAGTAGTAAGAGATTAATAGATGTTAACTGTTATTGTTAATAATATTATATTTTGCTAATTGCATTATTTATCAATGTTATTATTTTGAAGAGCTGAGAGCTTCCAAGTCTGTACCTTTAGTTCAGATCCATTTTTTGGGGTCCAGGCCTGCTTCTATCTTTCAAAACAATGCATCTGCTTATCTCTATTTCTGTGACTGTTAGCTTTGCTCATGACTTGGCCTAAACTCTGGAAAAAGCAATGCCATTCACTCTGCCTAGTGGAATCATGAATAGGCTCTTTAATATTCCACGTTCTTTCAGTTATTGGAGCAATTCTGTTTCAATATTTAATCTTTACCCTTATATATTTTATGACTTTGGCCTCAAACTCCGTTTAAAGCTCTCTTTTCTCTTCAAAGGATAGTTAGAATTTTCATGTCTTCAGCAGCTGGAGTAGAGTTTCCCCCACCCTCCTTTATCTTCTAGGTGCTAGATCCTCTCTTAGGTTCAGGTGGAGAGGAAGGAGAGGGAACAGGCAAACTTCTCCTTTCTGAACTGGGAGTAGAAGTGGTTACTCGTTAACTGATGAGAAGTCTCTAGCTCACATTGGTCATTTCTGTCATGGAGCACAGGAGGGCCCTGGTCAAGTTTCCTGCTGATTATCTGATATAGGAGATCTAGCTTTGCTTTGGTATTGTCCTCCTTCTCGTCTTTCCCTTATTCCACAGCATCTTGCTGCTGGGGTCCCTCTTGGGAGAAGTTCCTGCAAGATAGCTCAAATTCAGCTACCTCTGAGGTGTCTGCTTGCCCCAGCTTTAAGTGTATAAGGGCAGTCCCACTGCTTCCCTCTCTTTTAGCCTTGTCTTCCTTATCTTTTCTCAGCTCACGGTGACCAAGGGGCAGATTAGTAGCCTGTTGGTTCCACAAGTATACAACTAGAGAACAAAATGCTCTTCTTTTCTTGCAGAAATCCTAGTATTGCATAAGTGATCTTCATGAAGCTTCCTATTCCCTGTGGAGTTTGGAAGGAGAGGCATTCCTGTAGGCTTCTGCTGAGAAGGGAAGAAGAGTCTTCCTGCTTGGACACTGGGCTTCTGAAAAGGCCATGTGCTCTCCTATCTCACAGTTTTCTTTCTTTTACTTTTTTTGTTTGTCTTTTTTCTCTTTTTTTATTCTTTTTTTCTTACCTCACAGTCTTGTATGTGTTTTGACTGTCACAAGAATGAGCATTGGACGTGGTAGAAAAAATTCTTGGATTAGTGCCTCTCATTAGTCCCTAAAAATACATATGTATCTGGCCCCAACTCCTGGTGACTCTCTAAGCTTATGATGCATTTTTTGGTATGTTTTGTATACAGTTTTGAGCTTCCGCAATGATTTTTAAAACAGGACAAAATCCCATATGAACCTTCTGTTATACTCCATTAAATTGTCAATACCAGAGATACAGGAAAATTATTTTCTCATTCTAACTTTATATACCCAATATCTAACAAAGCAGCTGCAAAATGGTTGCTACTCAATAAATATTTGTTGAATGAATGAAGGAATGAAAAGCCAAATGTAATACATAGAAAAGTTGATTATAAATTCTTTGGTACAAAATAGACAGACAAAACATAATCTAGGAAATATGCACCCTGAGAAATTGCTATCATCATCTTAATACCTTATAACAACGAAAGTTCTTAAACTGGTCCCCTTAATACCATTGTGTTTATTTTCTGTATGTTTATACTTTTATGCTTTGGTTTCATTTTCTACTTATTAGTTAAATGATTATGAGAACTGTGGGGATAAATTTAAAACATTACTGTGTTTCTATAGAGAGTTCTGCTGTAATGCAGTGATTATGAAATGATCTCAAATCTATTCAGAATTATTAAAAGGTACAGTTCAATAAATATTTTTATTTTTGTTAATTCTTCCCCAAATCACATTAAAACGATCCTTTTGCACTTAAGTGATTTCGTCAGTTTTGTATTCATTTTAAATGCCAGATTCTTTTTCTAAGATTCAAAGTTTCTGAAAACTTTATTTTTAAGCAATATATTCTGAGAAGACTTAAATCTAAATTCAATTGTTCAGATAAATATGAATACAATTTAATAAAAAGTACTGAATGCTGTGTTTTATAATTCCTTAGAAAATTTGGGAACATTACTAGGTTCCCAAGTAGATTGATAATACCTGAGAGATCAGCCGTGACCAACATTTAGTTACATTAACAGGAATACTTGATATGAGCAAATCCGTACATATTTTTATTAAAAGTGCAAATATAAATAATTAAATGATTCTGTTCTAATGCCCTTCATTCCAATGCCTAGAACAGGAAAAAAGACATGAACCTCTTTAAGAAGTCATGTTCAAAAAATTGCTAGTAGTTTACAGAGATTACTGAAGAAACAACTGTCAAACTCAGCCAATTGCTTATCAGGAGTGGGCTTAGAAAGGCAAGTTACCAGGGAAACCTCTTCCTCACTGGAAAAGGATAAATGTGTACTAGGAGTCCACATATGGCAAGACTGTAATCTTGCTATGCTTTAATTTTATCTAGGTTAGCCACAGTGGAGAAAACACTGTAGAGACTAGAAGCTAAGAGTGCAGAAGGGCAAAAGCAATTTTTATAACTTTAAGTTGATTATTAGTACTACTAATAATGCTAATGGTAGTGCTTACACTATTAACAAAAATAATTATAAACACTTACAAAGCACTCTGTCTTAGTCATTTGGGCTGCTGTAACAAAAATACCATAGAGTGGGTAGCTTAAACAACAAATATTTATTTCTTACATTTCTGGAAGTTGGGATCAAAGTGTGAGCAGATTCAGTGTCTGGTGAGGGCTTGCTTCCTGGTGCATAGATGGCCATCTTCTTGCTGTGTTTTTTTTTTTTTTTTTTTTTTTTTAAGATGGAGTCTCGCTCTGTCACTCTGTTGCCCAGGTTGGAGTGCAGTGGTGTGATCTCGGCTCACTGAGACCTCTGCCTCAGGGGTTCAGGTGATTCTCCTGCCTCAGCCTCATGAGTAGCTGGGACTACAGGCACTTGCCACCACGCCCAGCTAATTTTTGTATTTTTAGTAGAGACGGGGTTTCCATAACAATGGAAATTAGGCTATAGTATATAAATTTTAGGGGGACACATCCATTCGATAGCCTGCTCTATAGTTTAAAAATTGCACTCTTTTGAATTCTGTCTTTTGGGAGACATTATTGCCATCAGTCTCATAATAGAGATGAGAAAACTAAAGTTAAGTGCATTAGCTGTGGTCATACAGGGGTTAATCAAGAGCCCAGAAGTTGTATTCAATCTCCTTGATTCTAGTGCATACTCCTTTTGCATATTACTCATTTTTCTAAAATCATGTTAACTCCTCTTCTTGCTAGTAAGAAGATGCAGTGGTAGATTTATCATGAATTAAAGGAAGTATAGTTTCAGGCACCCTCACTTGCATAAGCCCATTCCAATGTCTTGGAGTAGCCCTAATAGTGTTCATATATTTATGTAAATTTATACATATATACACAAATATATGTATATATTTATATATTTATGTAAAGTTATACATGTACACATAAACATTTATATTTTTTAATCTAAATATATGTACACATAAATTTACATAAATATATGCATGTGTGTGTGTGTGTATATATATATATATATATATATATATATATATATATATATATATACACATACATGTATCTTTTTTTTTTTTTTTTTTCTGGAGAGAGACAGGGTTTTGCTCTGTCACCTAGGCTGGAGTGCAGTGGTGCAATCACAACTCACTGAAACCTTGAACTCATGTGTTCAAGCAATCCTCTCTCCTGCCCCAGCCTCCTGAGTAGCTAGGACTACAGGAGTGTGCCACCTACGCTTGGCTAAATTTTTTATTTTTATTTTTGTAGAGACAAAGTCGTAGTATGTTGCCCAGACTGGTCTCAAATGCTGGTCTCAACTGATCCTCCTGCCTTGGCCTCCCAAAGCTCTGGGATTGTAGGCATGAGCCACCTGGCCTGGCAAATTTTATAGTATTTTTTAAAAGAAAGATTTTTTTCAAGCTGCAGTCTTTCCACTGCATCTTCACCTCTGTCTTGCTTCCCATGTGATGGGTTGGCATTTAACTAGCTAAAGACAGTTTTTGGATCTGACTTAGAGGAAACTGATTTAGCAATACACTTTATTTAGAGAGATTTATTTATGTGGTTTTCAGTTATCTCCTTGTATAGTTAAATAATTGTTAGCCATCCTGATACAAGGATGTTTTATTCAAATATTACTGTATCCCACTGTGTTGACTCAACCTGTGTTGAGACATAAAATATAGCACAGGCAGTCACTTTATTAACATGAATTCATCTTATAGCCACAGCTCCTCAAGTATGTTGGTAGAGGGGGAGAACAAAGTTAGAAATGTTCAGAACCAGAAGTTAATTTATAGAAAATTCTTCCAAACATTAGATAAGTAAAATATAAGTATAGAAATGGGTTTTCATCAACACCTAGTCAAACAGTTCTCTCGATAGAAATTTTTCTAAATATCACAACAATCTGAAAATTTTACATGTTGTTACCAATGACAAATTTTTAATTTGGCAGTTAATTTAATAAAAAAGTTAATACAAATATGTGACTTTTCTGATTTTATGCTTTTGAGATTGCAACTTAATAAAATTTATTATTTGTTGTGATTTGTTTTCTCATTTCAAATAAATATTTTTTTACCTAATTTTGCATTTATAATTTATATATATGTATTTAAAGGGTCTCTTTCTCTCTCAAATTGTTTAAGATTAAGGTCTCATAAAGGCTGGATCCTCTGCTGAAAGTATGTATGCTCAGTAAATATCTGTTGACAATTAATAAGCATCTTCTGGAATCGGTTTTGATGCCAAGGTGACTTGGCATCCTGAAGTTCTGGAACCAAAAGACTTCTGATGTTAAGGAATTGTGGGTGGATTTTCTCAAGACTGGGAGATAGACTTCGTACTTTATGAAGCTTATGCATTGTAAAAGTATGTTCATTCCATATTCAGAGATTTCCCATCTTCCTTCAGCAACCTAGCCTCTTGCCCTCACAGGGTATCAAACAAAATCTTTGTTTTTGAAAAGCTAGGCTCATCAGGGTGATGTAAATTGACTGTTTTAGACTGGGAAAGATTCCAATGAAAGTGGTCCATGAAAGTGCTCCTTTCTGAGAAAGAAAATATTAAGAGTTTTTGAGGTTGGGTGTCACAGATGTTGGACAGCTTGTTGGGAGTAAAAATAGGAACCAACATCTTATTCCCCCAATTCTCATAATTCTTGGAAATGATAGTTCTTCCATAAGGCTGAGTGGATTGTGGTACCACTGAAAGTCATGGCTTGGGACACTTAGTTCCTGGAGTCCCATGTTACTGCAGAGGGAGTGGAAACACTAGTCTACAAAGGGGTACTTAGATGATTGGAAAATTAACCTCGTAGAACTAGAAAACCACATCACAGAACTAGAATTATCTAGAACTGAAGACAAGAGGTCTTTTTTCCCCCTAATTTGTTGAACTATGTAATCACCTCTTCCCCCTAACTCCAATCCAAGACACATACATGACCTTAGGGTAGTGATTCTCAGACTGTGGTCCCCTCTCCACATAGCAGAATCACCTGCAAACTTTTAGAAATACAAATGATCGGGCCCCACCTCAGGCCTGTGAATCAGAAACTCTAGGGAGTCGTATTGTGGAGCAAACATAGTTTACTACATATGGATCCAGAGTATTTTACACAAGCAGGGAGCAGGAAAATCACTGGCCTTCATGAGGGGTGAGAAATAAACAGAAAAGTCAGTAGCTGGCAAGGCAGTGATGCAGACCTTTGTAGATACAAGATGCCATGGTCTGTCTTGGCTTTGCTCTACGAACCTTCTGAATTTTTCCTTGTTTGGAGTTTCTTTTTTCTTTGTACTTCTCTATGCATGTGCTGAAAGTGGCCCTCCTTCAGCTCCATAAAAGTTTAAGCTAAGAGACAGATTAATGTATCTGAAACTCAATTCTAGAAGGAAGATTTGACTGACTCAATTTAAATAGCTATGGCCAGGTTGACAGGATCACATGGGACACACAGGGCCAGAGGGGCCTCACACTTGTATGTGGTGAGTCATTTCCCATAAAATGGGCTGTGGACTGAATAGTCAGCCTGTGTCTATTCACATAGTGAACATCAGAACTCTTAAGACTTAAGACCACCAATATTGTGAATTATGTTCCTAATTTTTATTAAATTTCTTGCTCACAGTTTGATAATTTTGACTAATACAGTCCTGGGCTCATTTCCATATGCCTGCATTTACAAAATTAATTGGGTTTGTCAAGAAAGTTAAATTTCTGCTGGAGTCAGAGGTAGTTGGAAGTTTGAATTTAATGCTGGAGTTTTATTGCCTAAGATATAAATTGTATTTCCTGTAAAGTTCTGAAATAACAGCTCAATAAATAACTACTAATATCACAGTTCAGACATTTTAATTAAGCATGTTAACTTTCTTTACCGCAATATTCAAATAATGTGTAACGCAATGAGCTTTTTGGTTGCAAAACTGGAAGCCCTCCAGTAACTTATGCAGCATTTCAAACGAACTTAATTTTAACTCAGACTCTAGGTAACTAAGAATTATTCTTACTAATATCTAAAAATAATCACAGATTTGTTATACTTTTAATCTTCCTTTGATTTCTTTATCGTTAATAAACACAATTATTTACAAGTGTAGGTTTTTATTATTTACTTATAGATAATTATGCTGAATTCTCAATGCTGTATAACGAGAGGAGGCCTCCAATCACAAAGACTTCAGGATATAGTCCAGAAGTTGACAAGATTTTTCTTTCTTTAAAGGGCCTGATAGTAAATATTTTAGGTTTTTTTTGAGGATATACAGTCTCACATATTCTTACCCCTTCTTTTCCTCCTATTCCTCCTCCCCATGTTTTTCCTTGTTTGATTTTTTTTTTCTTCTTTCCTTCTTCTCCATTGTAACCTCTTCTTAGCTCATGGGCCATACACAGTCTTCAGGCTGAATTTAGCCCCTGGGCTATCATTTTCTGATTTATGATTACAGTCCAAACACAAACTTGAAAGTGACTGAAATGTTCTCTCTTCAAAGCTGTCTTGTGGATTTTCAATCATTCTCTTTTGATAGACTCATAAGATGAGATTATAGTATAGACAGAGGATGAGGGATGCAGAGCCAGGGATGAAAGGCAGAACAAACAATACATGATTTCAGAATTAATAATGAAGAAGACATTGATAAACATCTATGTCATTCCAGGTGCTAAATATGTATGTTTTTCTTTCTTTTTTCATATTTATAGTTTATTTCTTTTTTTTATGAAATTTTTATCTTTTATTTCTACAGTTTTATTCATAGGCACCAAAAGCTGGAAACAACCTAAATGGTCAACAAGGATGAATAGATAAACTGTGGTACATTTATACAATACAATACTACCCAGTAACAAAAAGTAACAAACTAATGATATGCACAACTGTGGGTTAATTTCAAGAGTATTATGCTGAAAGAAAAGAGCCTTACTCAAAAGCCTTCCTACTATGATTTCATGCTCCTCATCTTTGCCATTTTAACCCAATTATAATTGCAGCATAACACTAAGGCCTACTGTAGAATACAATGCTTTTGTGTGTATTTTCTTTATATATATATATATATATTTATTATACTTTAAGTTCTAGGGTACATGTGCACAACGTGCAGGTTTGTTACATATGTATACATGTGCCATGTTGGTGTGCTGCACCCATTAACTTGTCATTTACATTAGGTATATCTCCTAATGCTATCCTTCCCCCCTCCCCCACCCTACAACAGGCCCCGGTGTGTGATGTTCCCCTTCCTGTGTCCAAGTGTTCTCATTGTTCAATTCCCACCTAGGAGTGAGAACATGTGGTGTTTGGTTTTTTGTCCTTGCGATATGTATGTTTTTCGTTTAATCTTTCACATCACACGGGTGAGTTTTACAATGCCTACCTTACAGATGAGAAAACAGACATGAAGAAGTAGCATTACTAAGTAAAAAATTATGCATTGTAACAGTTGAGGCTCAATTTCAAGTTCGTGTGGCACATAAAGCTCATTTTCTTTGTGATATACTACATGGTGTCCTGCCATAGAATACAATGAGGAATAACGAGCACCTCACCACAGATTTGTAAACATTTTAAAACCTGCATTCAAAAGCATCTTATGAAATTGCTAAGGTATTAAAAGAATTTCACAGGCATTTATTAATGTCAGTAAGTGCAAATAAGTTGGAACTGCTTGAATATAACATTATCTTTAATGATAACATATTGTCTTTTGGAAATAGAGTTTATGATTTGAAAGGTTCCCAAGTTCTCATCTCAATAAATTGAAGTAATGTATCTTCCAAAATGTGCAACACACCTTATCCCCCATCTCCATATCAGTATGCTTATATTAACAATCTATTCATCAAATATGCAGGGCAAATGTAAGGCTATTGTTCCCCTCTATTTTCCTGAGGCACCAGCACATAAATAAAGGAAGGGAAATGAACTTGCTTAGTCAGGGATGGAGCTAAGACTGTTTTTACATACCCTTAAGCTAATGGATATTTTACTAGACTGCCTCTCGTGTGTGTGGCTTTATGTTTTAGAGAAAGCATCTTCCTTCTTTCTAATGAATATACAGCTGGACCTACTTTCCTTAAATTAGCTTACCATCAAGACTATTATTCTATAAATGTGCATCAGATGTTGCTTAAATCTGGCTTGATTACAGATGCTCCCTTATAGTTTTATTCAATTGCTTAACTCTAAACTCAACATTATGCCATTAAACCATTTAATTTAGCCATCTCCAAAAGTTTTATTAAATTGTTTAATATTATGGCCATTAACTAACTCATCACTCAAACTATATGAGAGGTCATAATGTAATAATGTTACCATCTGTATACTACTTCTTTTCCCATGTCTCCAGTACAGTAATAAAATATTATCAGTTTTTAACATATATTTGTGAGATACAGTATCTATCATATTATATCTGGACTTTATAGATAAAGAAACATAATGGTGTATTGATTTGCATTAAGAATAAAATAAGTCAACATGCTTGATGGTTTTATAGTCTTTCATGAACAAAGAAATACTATCTTAGTTTTTATTTAAACTTTATAAACTTGCCTTGGTGTGCTTAAGGCATTATGTAAAATATAAAAATTTCACAAAAAGTTTACATCTTATGGAGAGGACAAAAATCACTTAAGTGCAAATGGTATTATTTTAATGTCATAGCTGTGCAGTTCAATAGTGTAGCCACCAGTTAGGTATTGCTATTCAGATTTAAATTAATTAAAATTAAATGCAATTAAAAATTCAGTTCCTCAGGCACACTAGTGATATTTCAAGTGCTCAGTAGGCACATGTGATTAGTGGCTACCATATTGGATGGTGCAGATATAGAACATTTCCAGCATTGCAGAAAGTTCTACTTGAAGGCTGGGTGCAATGGCTCATACCTATAATCCAAGCAATTTGGGAGGACAAGGCTAGGGGATCACTTGAGCTAAGGAGTTTGAGACCAGCCTGGATAATACAGCAAAACCCTATCTATCTCCACAGAAAATACAAAAATTAGCTGAATGTGGTAGCGTGCACCTGTAGTCCCAGCTACTTGGAAGGCTAGGGTGGGAGGGTAACTTGAATCCAGAAAGTGGAAGTTTCAGGGAGCCAAGATTGTGCCACTGCACTCTAGCCTGAGTGACAGAGCCAGATCTTTTCTCAAAAAAAGAAATTGTGTATGTCTTACTGATTGTTTTTACTTTGTCAATGTAAAAAATTCATTTTAGGCAGTGTGTTAGGCTGTTCTTTTATTGCTATAAAGAAATACCTGAGATTGAATAATTAATAAAGAGGTTTAATTGGCTTATGGTTCTGCAGACTGTACAAGCATGGCACTGGCATCTGCTCAGCTTCTGGGGAGGCTTCAGGGAGCTTTTACTTAAGGTGAAAGGCAAAGCAAGAGCAGGCATATCACATGGCAGAAGCAGAGGCAAGAGAAAGAGTGGGGTGGGGGAGGTGCCACAGTTTACAACACCTCCCACCAGGCCCCACTTGCAACACTGGGAATTGCAATTTAACATGAAATTTTGGCAGGGACACATATCCAAACTATATCAGACAGCTTATGAAAAAACAAATATGATATGGTAAAAACAACTTACCAAAGAAAAATAAATGGAGACATAATAAGGAGGAAAGAAGAAAACTATACAGAGAACTATTTGTGGTGGAATGGCAATTGATTATGAAACTTATTTCTGACCTTTTTAGCAGCTAGACAAAGAGGAATCAATATCAGTACTTTAGGGAAAAAGAAAAATATGTTCATAGATTCATAAGGTCGAGGCAAGCCACCTGTCTTATAATGTTACTTAAGTGGAACTAAAATAAAGCTCATAAATTATGTACTTCTTATGTTTGTGGCTCTTATAAAAATATAAAACTAGAAAAATAAATATATAGATACCAGGGCAAGATGTCCAATTAGAAGCAGCTGTGGTACCTGGCACTCATGGAGAGGAATGAAAGGGGCGAGTGAATACAGGATCTTCAATGGAAATATCCAGGTACTCACATTGGAACTGATCAGGGAAACAACTTCACCCACAGAAAATGAAGAAAAGCAGGGTGGGGCGATGGCCCACCCAGGAGGAACACAGAGCCAGGGGAACCCCCGACTCCCAGCCAAGGGAACTGGTGAGTGAATGTGTGGCCCTGGGAAACCATGCTTCTCCCACAAACCTTTGCAACCCTCAGAGCTTTACATATTCCAGCTCTGGGGTATTTGACAAAGGGACTGCAACTCAGGCAAGGCAGGTCCATACATACCCCTAGGAAGAGGACTGAATCCAGGGGTCTGAGCAGCATTGGTCTGCAGGCCCCACTTCCATGGCACCTCACAAGATAAGACCCACTGGCTTGAAATTCCAACCAGCCACTAGCAACAAAGTGGAGCCTGACTGAGACTGGATGGGGCCCCCAGAAGGAGAGGCCAGTCACCATCTTTGCTGTTTGGTCGACACAGCCATTCTAGCTTGCAGGCTTTGGCAATTCCAGATGGTCTGGATGAGGAAGGGTCCCCCTGAGCGCAGTAGAGCTGCTTTGCCAGAACATTACCAGACTGCTTCTTTAAGTTGGACCCTGATCCATTCCTCTTCATTAGGCGGGACCTCCCATCTGGGGCCTCTAGCCACCCCCAACTGCCTGTATTCTACAAACAGAGCTCTGATCTCTTCCTGGGATGGACTGCCTAGGGTGTGGGGTGGGCCAAGAACTTTGTTGTTTGGACAACTCAGCCATTCCAGCCTGTGGACTTTGGAGAGTCCAAGCCAACCAGAAAAGAGGTGGCTCCCCAGCAGATACAGCTGTTTTGTCAAGGGGTGGCCAGGCTGCTAAACTGGACTCCATCCTCTCCTCCTCACAGGGTGGATCCACCTAGCTGCGGCCTCTTGCCCCTCCTGCAGGTGTTCTATGGCCAACAGAGTTTTAATTTCTCCCTGGGATGCAATTCTAATTTCTCCCATGGGGTGGGGTGGGCCACCATCTTTATTGTTTGAGCATCTCAACCGGTCCACCCTGCGGGCCTTGGAGAGCCCAAACCAATGGAGGGCTTAAGGGGTTGCCAAAACAGTACAGCTGCTCTACCAAAACACAGCTAGACTATTTCTTTAAGTGGGTCTCTTATCTTGTCCCTCCTGACTGGGTGAGACCTCCCAACCAGGGTCCCCAACCACCCCTTATAAGTGTGTTTGAGCACAACAGGTCAGTATACCCCTGGGATGGAGCTTCCAGAGGAAGGAGCAGGCTGCTGTTTTGTGGCCTTCCCTGTTGATACCTCAATGTACAAGCCTAGGGTCTGGAGTGGACCCCCAGCAAACCACAGCAACCCTGCAGAACAGTGGTCAGACTGTTATAAGAAAAACAAACAAACAACAACAATGATGACAAAATTTCATTCAAAGGGATCAGCAACCTCAAAGATTGAAGGTAGGTAAGCCCACAAAGATGAGAAAAAAATTAGTGCAAAAATGCTGAAAACTCAAAAAGTCAGAGTGCCCCCTTCCCTCCAAATGACTGCAACACCTTCTCAGCAAGTGTTCAGAACTGGGTTGAGGCTGAGATGAATGAAATGACAGAAGTAGGCTTCAGAATGTGGATAAAACCAAACTTCACTGGGCTAAAGGAGCATGTTGTAACTCAATGCAAAGAAACTAAAAATCATGATAAAACAATGCAGGAGCTGACAGTTAAAATAGCCCATAGAGAGAGGGACATAACTGACTTGATAGAGCTGAAAAACACTTTATAAGAACTTCACAATACAATCCCAAGTATTAATGTCAGAATAGACCAAATAGAGGAAAGAATCTCAGAGCTTGAAAACTGTCTTTCTGAAATAAGACAGGCAGACAAGAATAGAGAAAAGAGAATGAAAAAGAATAAACAAAACCTTCGAGAAATATGGGATTATGTGAAGAGACCAAATCTACCACTGATTGGGGTACTTGAAAGAGATGGGAGAATGAAACCAGTTTGGAAAACGTATTTCACTATATCATCCAGGGGAATTTTCCAAACCTAGCTAGACAGGCCAACATTCAACTTCAGGAAAAGCAGAAAACCCACGTAGGATACTCCATGAAAATATCATCCCCAAGACACATAATCATCAGATTTTCCAAGGTTGAAATGAAAGACAAAATGTTAAGGGCAGCCAGAGAGAAAGGCCAGGTCACCTACAAAGGGAAGCACATCAGACTAACAGTGCACCTTTCAGCCGAAACCCTACAAGCTCAAAAAGACTGGGGGCCAATATTCAACATTTTTAAACAAAGGAAATTCCAACCCAGAGTTTCATATCCAGCCAAACTAAGCTTCATAAGTGAAGGGGAAATAAGATTCTTTTCAGAGAAGCAAATGGTGAGAGAATTCATTACCACCAGATCTGCCTTACAAGAGGTCCTGAAGGAAGCATTAAGTATGGAAAGGAAAAATGGTTACCAGCCAATACAAAAACACACTGAAGTGCACAGGCCAATGACACTTTGAAGCAACCACATAAACAAGTCTGCAAACCAACTAGCATCAAGATGACAGGAACAAATCCACACATAATAATCCTAACCTTAAATGTAAATAGGCTAAATGTCCCACTTAAAAGACACAGAATGGCAAGCTGGATAAAGAATCAAGACCCACTTGTATGCTGTCTTCAAGACACCCATATCACATGCAAAGACACACATAGGCTCAAAATAAAGGATGGAGAAAAATACACCAAGCAAATGGAAAACAGAAAAAAAGCAGGGTTTGGAATCACAGTTTCTGACAAAACAGACTTTAAACCAACAAAGATTAAAAAAAAAAACAAAAAAACAAAGGCATTATATAATGGTAAAGGGTTCAATTCAACAGGAAGAGCTAATTATACTAAATATATATGCACCCAATACAGGAGCTCCAAGATTCATAAAGCAAGTTCTCAAAAACCTTCAAAGACACTTAGACTCTCACACAATAATAGTGGGAGACTTCAACAACCTACTGACAGTATTAGACAGATTAATGAAACAAAAAATTAACAAAGCTATCAGTACCTGAACTCAACCCTGGCTCAAGTGGACTTCATAGATATCTACAGAACTCTCCACCCCAAAACAACAGAATATACATTCTTATCACCACACTGGACTTACTTGAAAATTGATCACATAATCGGAAGTAAAACACTCCTCGGTAAATGCAAAAATATCTGAACTCAGAGTTTCTAGGACCACAGCACAATCAAATTAGAACTCAAGATTAAGAAGTTCACTCAAAACCATACAACTACCTTGAAATTGGACAACTAGCTCCTGAATGACTTTTGGGTAAATGATGAAATTAAGGCAGAAATTAAGAAGTTCTTTGAAATGAATGAGAACAACAAAACAACATACCAGAATCTCTGGGACATAGCTAAAGACATGTTAAGAGGGAAATGTATAGCACTAAATGCCCACATCAAAATACTTAAGATCTTAAGTTAACAACCTAACATCACAGCTAAAAGAACTAGAAACCCAAGAGCAAACAAACCCAGAGCTAGCAGAAGACAAGAAAAATAACCAAGATCAGAGCTGAACTGAAGGAGCTAGGGACATGGAAAACCCTTCAAAAATCAATGAATCCAGCTGGTTCTTTTTTTGAAAAAATTTATGAAATAGATATGCCACTAGCTAGATTAATAAAAAAGAGAAGAAAAAACAGTCAAATAAACACAATCATAAATGATAAGGGGGATATTACCACTGACCCTAAACAAATACAAACAACCATCTGATAATACTGTAATATAAACACTTCTATGCATATAAACTAGAAAATCTAGAAGTGGATAAATTCCTGGACACATGCACCCTCCCTTCCAAGACTGAACCAGAAAGAAATTGAATCCCTGAATAGACCAGTAATGAGTTCTGAAATTGAGGCAGTAATAAATAGCCTACCACCACCACCAACAACAACAAAAAAGTGGCCCAGGACCAGATAGATTCACAGCTGAATTCTACTAGAGATAAAAGAAAAACTGGCATTGATCCTACTGAAATGATTCCAAATAATTGAAAAGGAGAGACTTCTCCCTAAATCATTTTATGAGGCCAGCATCATCCTTATACCAAAACTTGGCAGAAATACAATTAAAACAAAAAACTTCAGGCCAATATCCTTAATGAACATCAATGCAAAAATCTTCAACAAAATACTGGCAAACCAAATCCTGCAGCACATCAAAAAGCATATCCACCAAAATCATGTAGGCTTCATCCTCAGGATGTAAGGGTGATTCAACATATGCAAATCAATAAATGTGATTCATTACATAAACAGAACTAAGACAAAAACCCCATAATTATCTCAATATCTGCAGAAAAGGCCTTTGATAAAATCCAACATCCCTTCCTGTTGAAAACTCTCAAAGAACTAGGTATTAATGGAACATACCTCAAAATAATGAGTCATATATGACAAACCCACAGCCAATATCATACTGAATGGGCAAAAGCTGGACATATTCTCCTTGAAAATCAGCAAAAGCCAAAGTTGCCCTCTCTCACCACCTCTATTCAACATAGTATTGGAAGTTCTGGCCAGGGCCAGAGAAATAAAGGGTATTTAAGAAGGAAGAGAGGAAGTCAAACTACCTTTGTTTGTAGATGACATGTTCCTATATTTAGAAAACCTCAGTGTCTCAGCCCAAAAGCTTCTTAAGCTGATGAGCAACTTCAGCAAAGTCTCAAGATACAAAATCAATATGCAGCAATCACTAACATTCTTATACACCAACTACAGGCAAACTGAGAGCCAAATCACAAATGAACTCTCATTCATAGTTGCCACAAAGAGTATAAAATAGCTAAGAATACAGCTAACAAAGGAAGTGGAGAACCTCTTCAAGGTTAACTACAAACCACTGCTCAAGGAAATCAGAGAGGACACAAACAAATGGAGAAACATTCCGTGCTCATGGATAGAAAGAATCAATATCATGAAAATGGCCATAATGCCCAAAGCAATCTATAGATTCAATGCCATTTCTATCAAACTGCCATCAATATTCTTCACAGAATTAGAAAAAAAAACACCTTAAAATTTATATGCAACAAAAAAGAGCCCAAATAGCCAAGGTAATCCTAAGCAAAAAGAACAAAGCTGAAGGCATCCCACTACCTGACTTCAAACTATACTATAGGGATACAGTAACCAAAACAGCATGGTACTGGTACAAGAACAGACACATAGACCAATGGAACAGAATAGAGAACCCAGAAATAAGGCCATACACCTATGACCATCTGATCTTCAACAAACCTGACAAAAACAAGCAATGGGCAAAAGATTCCTTATTTAATGAACGGTGATGGCAGAACTGGCTAGCCATATACAGAAAATTGAAACTGGACTTCTTTCTTACACCATATACAAAAATCAACTGAAGATGTATTAAAGGCTTAAATGTAAAACCCAAAACTATGAAAACCCTAGAAGAAAACCTAGGCAATACCATTCAGGGCATAGGCATGGGCAAAGATTTCATGATGAAGATGCCAAAAGCAATTGCAACAAAAGCAAAAATTAACAAATGGGATCTAATTAAACTTAAGAACTTCTGCCCAGCAAAAGAAACTGTCAACAGAGTAAACAGATAACCTACAGATTAGGAAAACATTTGTCAAATCTATGTATCTGATAAAGGTCTAATATCCAGCATCTATAAGAAACTTAAACAAATTTACAAGAAAAAACCCAACCACAGTAAAAAGTGGGCAAAAGACATGAACAGACACTTCTTAAAAGAAGGTATGTATGTGGCCAACAAACATGAAAAAAAGCTCTACATCACCAGTCATTAGAGAGATGCAAATCAAAACCACAATGAGATACACCATCTCACACCAGGCAGAATGGCTATTACTAAAAAGTCAAAAAACAACAGATGTTGGTGAGGTAGTGGAGAAAAATGAATGCTTTTACCCTGTTGGTGGGGGTGTAAATTAGTACAACCATTGTGGAAGACAGTGTGGTGATTCTTTAAAGACCTTGATATGGTTTGACTGTGTTCCCACCCAAATCTCATCTTGAATTGTAATAATTTCCACATGGCAAGGACAGGGCCAGGTTCACATAATTGAATCATGCAGGTGGTTTCTCACACACTGTTCTTATTGCAGTTAATAAGTCTTACAAGAGCTGATGTTTTCATAAATGGTAATTCCCCTGCACAAGATCTCTTGTTTGCCACCATGTAAGATGTGACTTTGCTTCTCCTTTGCCTTATGTCACGATTGTGAAGCCTCCTCAGCCATGTAGAACTATAAGTCCATTAAACTTCTTTCCTTTATAAATTACCCAGTATGGGGTATGTCTTTATTAGCAGTGTGAGAACAGGCTAACACAGTACATTGGTACCAGGTAGTGGGTTGCTACTATAAAGATACCTGAAAAAGTGGAAGTGACTTTGGAACTGAGTAACAGGCAGAACTTGGAACAGTTTGGAGGGCTCAGAAGAAGACAGGGGGATGTAGGAATGTTTGGAACTTCCTAAAGACTTGTTGAACGGCTTTGACCAAAATGCTGATAGTGATATGGACAATAAGGTCCAGGCTGAGGTGGTCTCAGATGGAGGTGAAGAACTTGTTGGAAACTGGACCAAACGTGACTCTTGCTATGTTTTAGCAAAGAGATTGGTGACATTTTGCCCATGCCCTAGAGATTTATGGAACTTTGAACTTGAGAGAAATGATTTAGGGTACCTGGCAGAAGAAATTTCTAAACAACAAAGTGTTCAAGAGGTTACTTGTGTACTGCTAAAAGCATTCAGTTTTATATATTCACAAAGATATGGTTTCCAATAGAAACTTATGTTTAAAAGGGAAGCAGAGCATGACAGTTCAGAAAATTTGCAGCCTGACAATGCAATAGAAAAGGAAAACCCATTTTCTGAGGAGAAATTCAAGCAGGCTGCAGAAATTTGCATAAGTAACCAGGAGCCAAATGTTAATCACCAAGAAAATGGGGAGAATGTCTCCAGGGCATCTTAGAGGTCTTCACTGCAGCCCCTCCCATCACAAGCTGGGGGACCTAGGAGGAAAAAAATGGTTTTGTGGGCTGTGGCCAGGGCCTTTCTGCTTTGTGCAGTCTCAGGACTTGGTGCCCTGTGTCAGGCCAATGCTTCAGAGGGTGCAAGCCCCAAGCCTTGGCAGCTTACATGTGGTATTGGGCCTGTAGGTGCACAGAAGTCAATAACTGAGGTTTGGGAACCTCTGCCTATATTTCAGAGGATGTATGGAAATGCCTGGGTGTTCAGGCAGAGGTGTGCCACAGGGGAGGAGCCCTCCTGGAGAAACTCTGCTAGGGCAGTGCAAAAGGAAAATGTGGGGTGTGAGCCCCTACAGAAAGTCTCCACTGGGGCACTGCTTAGTGAAGCTGTGAGAAGAGGGCCACTGACCTCCAGACCCCAGAATGGTAGATCCACCAACAGCTTGCACCATGTGCCTGGAAAAGCTGCAGACACTCAACACCAGTCCGTGAAAGCAGCCAGGAGGGGGTATGTACCCTGCAAAGCCACAGGGGTGGAGCTGCCCAAGACCATGGGAACCCGCCTCTTGCATCAGTGTGACCTGGATGTGAGACATGGAGTTCAAAGGAGATAATTTTGTAGCTTTAAGATTTGACTGCCCTGAAGCCAAAATAGACAAATGGGATCTAATTAAACTAAAGAGCTTCTGCACAGAAAAAGAAACTACCATCAGAGTGAACAGGCAACCTACAGAATGGGAGAAAATTTTTGCAGTCTACCCATCTGACAAAGGGCTAATATCCAGAATCTACAAAGAACTTAAACAAATTTACAAGAAAAAAATCAAACAACCCCATCAAAAAGTGGGCAAAGGATATGAACAGTCACTTTTCAAAGAAGACATTTTGCAGGCAGAAGACATATGAAAAAATGCTCATCATCACTGGCCATCAGAGAAATGCAAATCAAAACCACAATGAGATACCATCTCACACCAGTTAGAATGGCCATCATTAAAAACTCAGGAAACAACAGGTGCTGGAGAGGATGTGGAGAAATAAGAATGCTTTTACACTGTTGGTGGAGTGTAAACTAGTTCAACCATTGTAGAAGACAGTGTGGCGATTACTCAAGGATCTAGAACTAGAAATACCATTTGACCCAGCCATCCCATTACTGGGTATATACCCAAAGGATTATAAATCATGCTGCTATAAAGACACACGCACACGTATGTTTATTGCGGCACTATTCACAATAGCAAAGACTTGGAACCAACCCAAATGTCCATCAATGATAGACTGGATAAAGGAAATGTGGCACATATACACCATGGAATACTATGCAGCCATAAAAAAGGATGAGTTCATGTCCTTCGTAGCAACTTGGATGAAGCTGGAAACCCTCATTCTGAACAAACTATCGCAAGGACAGAAAACCAAACACTGCATGTTCTCACTCATAGGTGGGAATTGAACAATGAGAACACTTGCACATAGGGTGGGGAACATCACACACCGAGGCCTGTTGTAGAGTAGGGGGTTGGAGGAGGAATAGCATTAGGGGAAATACCTAATGTAAATGACGAGTTAATGGGTGCAGCACACCAACACGGATCATGTATACATATGTAACAAACCTTCATGTTATGCACATGTACCCTAGAACTTAAAGTGTAATAAAAAAAGAAAAAAAAAAGATCTGATTGGCCTGCAGGATTTCAGATTTGCTTGGGGTCTGTGGCCCCTTTGTTTTGACCAATTTCTCCCATTTGGAAGGGCTGTTTTTACCCAATGTCTGTATCCCCATTGTATCTAGGAAATAGCTAACTTTCTTTTGATTTTACAGGCTCCTAGATGGAAGGGACTTGCCTTGTCTCAGATGAGACTTTGGACTGAGGATTTCTGAGTTAATGCTGAAATGAGTTACAAATTTGGGGGACTGTTGGGAAGTCATGATTGGTTTTGAAGTGTGAGGATGTAAGATTTGGGAGGGGCCAGGGGCAGAATGATATGGTTTGGCTATGTCTCCACCCAAATCCCACCTTGAATTGTAATAATTCCCATGTGTCAAGGGTGGGGCAAGGTTGAAATAATTGAATCATGGGAGCAGTTTCCCTCATACTGTTCTTGTAGTAGTGAATCAGTCACACAAGACCTGATGGTTTTATGAACGAGAGTTGCCTTGCACAAGCTCTCTTGCCTGCCATCATATAAGACATGGCTTTGCTTCTCCTTAACCTTCTGCCATGATGGTGAGGCCTCCCCAGCTATGTGGAACTGTGAGTCCATTAAACCCTTTTCTTTTATAAATTACCCAGTTTTTGGAATGTCTTTATTAGCAGTGTGAGGACAGACTAATATAGACCTAGAGACAGAAATACCATTTGACCCAGCAATCCCATTACTGGGTATATACCCAAAGGAATATAAATCATTCTCTTATGAAGACACATGCATGTGTATGTTCACTGCAGCCCTATTCACAATAGCAAAGATATGGAATCAACCTAAATACCCATCAATGATAGACTGGATAAAGAAAATGTGGTACATATACACTGTGGAATACTACTATGCAGCCATAAAAAGGAATGAGATGTTGTTTGCAGGGACATAGGTGGAGCTGGAGGCAAACGAACTCAGGAACAGAAAACCAAATACTGCATGTTCTCAGATATAAGTGGGAGTTAAATGATGAGAACACATGGATACATAATGGGGAACAATACACTGGGGCCTGTTGGAGGGCCAGTGGGTGAGAGGAGGGAGAGGATCAGGAAGAATAGCTAATGGATGCTGGGCTCAATACCTGGTGATGGGATGATCTGTGCAGCAAACCACCACGGCACATGTTTACCTAGGTAACAAACCTGCATAAACTGCACATGTACCTCTAAACTTAAAATAAAAGTAGGAAATTAAAAAAAGAAAAAGAAATGTATAAATTAAATATAATTCAAACAAAAATAGGAGTACATTTGGATGTTTACTGACATTAAATGGCTGTTTACAACACAAATGTATTACTGACTACTATGGCACAGGTTCTTCTGGGTTTGGCATGCTCATATACCTATCTCTTTCTGTAGTTTTTCTCCTCTCCTTCCCCCTCCAAAAACAGGGCATAAGATGAAAAGGCAGTAATTGAAAAGACTTACCAAAAGTGTGCAGACGACACCATTATCTAGGGCTACTGTTGTGCATTTCGATTTGAGAATATTAAAAGAAATGGGAGGAGCCAGAAACATGATTTACAGATTTGGAACTGGTTTCATACATTCCTTATTACAAAAAATATTAATCAAGAAAAGGCCTATACACTTACAAATAACAATATTCTGAAAAAACATATTTTTTGTTAACAGTATGAATCTTTTACTAATTGCTCTCTTATGAAGACTCAATTCTTCCTTTTTTTTCTAGTACATCTACTATGAAATCTTCTTTTCTACTTTTCTTAAATTCAATGATGACACAAAATGTATGCACATGAATCCCACTTCTATAAACTCTGAAATATATAATTTTTGTTACTAAAGACTACATACTCGTTCATCAGAAACCCATTTTTCCCTCCTTGGCCTTGAATCCTACGATAAACTTATCAATTCAAATGTTTGGGGTAAGAATAATTAACATATAGGAAATATATGTAAATATAGTAAATGAAATCAGGAGTATCTTTAGAAGAAATGCAAAAGTGTTTTTTCCACTTATCATTTATTATAATGGCCATCAGTGAAAATCAATGAAGTAATGAGAAAGTAAAGCTCTGTGGGGAAATTGTTAGTGGTTAGTGACTGGGTGGGCAGAGGGAAACTAGAGAATGTAGTGGTTCAGGAATGCAACTTTTAATTATTTGCTGTAATATATGGATAAAATTGTCAAAGTCTTAAAATATTGAGAAGCTAACACATTCCTTAGAGTATGGCTTTCATATAACAGCTCTGAAAAGCTGGTCTTTTGAAGAGTAAAAGCATTTAAAAAAAAAAAAGGAAAGAAAATCAATACAGCACAATTCTCTAAAGTTGGTGCTATAACCCAAGGGAAAATATCGATTCCTTGTTTTAAGCAAGAGGAGTAGGGTGATTGGGCTTCCTAAAGATGCTTTCTTGGATTAAGACTAGCACAGAGGAAAATCACATATGGTGAAACCAGAAGAGGGATCCTATACGTGTGCCCTATTTTAAGAAAACAGTCAATAGATGAGTCAGAGTGAGAGAGAAACAGTGCTGTCAACACCTCAGATGCAATCGACTGGTTTTAAGTTGGTGGATATTTTATGGATGTATATCTTATTGTTATGCTTCTTAATTTATAATATGTTACATTTATGCATTAGGTATCTATTGCTCCACAGCAAATTACTTTAAAACTTAGTGACTTAACAATAAATATTGATTATCCTCACAGTTTCTGTGGGTCAGAAATTCATGAATAGGTTGCAGTCAAGATGTTAGTCAGGACTGCAGTCATCTGAAGGTTTAAATGGGGCTGAAGGATCTGCTTTCAAGGTTACCCACTCAAATGGCTAAACGTTGGTTCTGACTATTAGAGAGAGGCTTTAGTTTCTGCCTATGCAGGCATCTTTCCAGCTGACAGAGTATCCTGGCAATGTGGTAGTTGGCTTCCTCCATGGCAAGTGATTAAAAGGCCACAAGGTAAAATCATGCAATGATATAGCCTCAAAAGTCACATAATATGTCTTCTGTTATAATCTTTTTTTCCCCCCAACTACCAATTTCTCCTTGATTATGTCATATGCTATCTGTAAGAAATGAGACAACAAATGTAACCCACATTCAGAGAAAGGGAAATTAGGCTCCAATTTCTGATGAGATTCAAAGAATTTGCCAACATATTTTAAAATAAAAACATTCGTTTGTAAAGGTTTTAAATATTACATAACAATTTAAAAAATCCATGAGCTCAGACCTTAAGGAGAAATTGATGGGAAAAATACAATGATCTCCCAAATGAAGATCAAATATGAATAATAAAAAAAGAATAAAAACTACTGAAAACACAGTAAGATTGGGAGAATCAAGCAAATTGAAATGTCAATGAACAAGTAATTTAAATGGATTTGTGAGAAATTGATTAATAGATTCAAAGATATCCAAGTCTTAATCTTTGGAAACTGTGAATGTTACCTTATGTAGTAAGGGTGACTTTGCAGATGTGATTAAATCAGGAAATTTGAGATGGGAGATTATCCTGGAGATTTCTAAATGTAACCATAAGTGTTCCTATAAAAGGAGAGCAGAGAGATATTTGACCATAGAGACAGAAAAAGAGAAGGTGATGTAATGACAAAGCAGAGATAGATTTAAAGATGGTACCCTGTTGACTTTGAAGATGGAAGAAGCAGCCAAGAAATGTCGGGAATGCAGGTCTAGAAGCTGGAAAAGGCAAATAAATGGATTATTTGCTCGAGTTTCTGGAGGGAGCACAGTCTCACCCATGCTTTGGCTGCAGCTCAGTGAAACCCCCTTCAGGCTTCTTACCTCTAGAATTGTAGATAATAAGTCGGTGTTGTTTTCAGCCATTAAATTTGCGGTAATTTGTTACAGCAGCAGTAGGAAATAACACAGGATTAGAGAGAAATTTATAGGTAAGGAAGAGAGACAAAGAATATTTCAATTATTTATAATTACTTTGAAGAACAGAATTGAATAGATTAAAAATACAGTTTAAGAAATGTTTTCAGAACTAAAAGATTTGAATCAATAAATTAAAAAGCCATACCATATTCCAAGACATATTGTCATCATAAAAATCCATATGAGAATTTAAATCATTCTGGCAATCTTTGTATTTTAATTGGCAGTTAAGAACCTTTATATTTAATATAATTTTCATTATGTTTGGGTTTAAGTCTATCAGCTATTTATTTCCTATTTGTGGGATTTGCTCTTTTTTTTTCTTCAATTACTGTCTTTGTTTAGATTGAATCTATTTTAATCTTTCATTTTGTTTTCCTATTGATCTAATAGCTATACTTTTTGCAGCTGTTCTAGATTTTAAAATATGCATTTTTAATTTATCACAGTTCACCTTCAAGCAATATTATATCACATCATAAACAGTATAAAATTTTTACAACTGTATACTTTTATCCCCCTATCCTTTGGGCTATTTTTAAAAATTTGCTTTATTTTCAATTCAGGGAGTACATGTGCAGATTTGTTACATGGGTATACTGTGTACTGTTAGGGATTGGGCTTCTAGTGTACTCATTACACAAACAGTAAACATTAAACCCAGTAGATAGTTTTTCAACCCTCGGCCCACTCTCACCCTCTGCCTTTTTGGAATCCCTAATTTCTTGTTTCCATCTTTATATTCATGTGTACCCATTGTTTAGCTCCCACTTGTAAGTGAGAACATGTGGTATTTGGTTTTCTGTTTCTGAGTTAGTTCACTGGGATAATTGTCTCTACCTTCATCAGTGCTGCAGCAGAAGACATTCTTTCATTCTGTTTTCTTTATGGTTGCCCAGTATTCCACTGTGTATGTGTACCACATTTTTTTTGTCCAGTCAACCACTGATGGACACTTAGTTTGATTCCATGACTTTGTTATTGTGAATAATGTTGTGATAAATGTAAGAGTGCAGGTATCTTTTTGATAAAATGACTTTTTTCTCTTTGGGTAGATACCCACTAGTGGGATTGCTAGGTGGAATGGTAGTTCTACTTTTAGTTCTTTGAGAAATCTCCATTACTGTTTTCCATAGAGGTTGAACTAATTTATATTCCCACTATATATATAGAAGCGTCCCTTTTTTTTTCTCTGCATTCTCGCCAACATCTGTTGTTTTAGGCATTCTGACTGATGTGAGATGATATCTCATTGTGGTTTTAATTTACGTTTCTCTGAGTATTATTGAACATTATTGATGTTGAGCATTTTTTCATAAATTTGCTGGCCATTTGTATGTCGTCTTTTGAGAAGCATCTGTTTATGTCCTTTGCACACTTTTTAGTGGGGTTATTTCATGTTAATTTTTTTAAGCTTTATGTATATTCTGGATATTAGTCTTTTCTCAGATACATAGCTTGCAAATATTTACTCCCTTTCTGTAGATTGTCCATATAATCTGCTGTTTCTTTTGCTGTGCAGAAGCTCTTTCATTTAAGTAAGCTTCATTTGTCAATTATTGTTTTCATGCAATTGCTTTTGAGGTCTTAGTCAAAAATTATTTGCCTATGCTAATAACTGGAAGAATTTTTTCTACATTTTTTTCTAGGGTTTTTTGAGGCCTTACAGTTAAGTCTTTAGTTCATCTTGAGTTATTTTTTGTATATGGTGAGAGGTACAGGTCCTGTTTCATTCTTCTGCAAATGGCCAGCCAGTTTTCCCAGCACCATTGATTGAATAAAGAGTGTCCTCTCCTCATTTTTAATTTTTGTTGACCTTGTCAAAGATTAGTTGGTTGTAGGTGTGTGGCTTTATTTTGGGGTTCTTTATTGTGTTCCATTGACCTACATATCTATTTTTGTACGGTACTATGTGTTTTTGTTACTACAGCCTTGTAGTATAAGACTATAGTATAAGGCTGTAGTACATGTGGAGTCAGGCAATGTGATGTCTCTAAATTTGTTCTTTTTTCTTAGGATTGCTTTGGTTATTCTGATTCTACTATCATTTTTGTTTCATATGAACTTTAGGATTGCTTTTTCTAATTCTGTGAAAAATGACATTGGAAATTTGATAGGGATTTCTTTGAATATGTAGATTGCCTTGGTCAGTATGGTCATTTTGATAATATTGATTCTTCAAATCCATGAGCATGGGATGTTTATCCATTTGTTTGTGTCATCTATGATTTCTTTCATCCATATTTTTAGTTCGCCTTGTGGAGATCTTTCACTTTCTTGGTTAAATATATTCCTAGGTATTTTGTTTTTTTTTGTGTGGCTATTTTAAATGGGATTGCATTCTTGATTTGGTTCTCAGATTGAGCATTATTAGTTTATAGAAATGTTACTAATTTTTTTTTTTTGAGATGGGGTCTCGCTCTGTTGCCCGGGCTGGAGTGCAGTGGTGTGACCTTGGCTCACTGCAACCTCCACCTCCAGGGTTCAAGCAATTCTCCTGCCTCAGCCTCTTGTGTAGTAGGGATTATAGGTGTGTACCACCATGTCCAGCTAATTTTTGTATTTTTAGTAGAGACTGGATTTCACCATATTGGCCAGGCTGGCCTTGAAATCCTGATCAAGTGATCCACCTGCCTGGGCCTCCCAAAGTGTTGGGATTACAGGCATGAGCCACCACACCACACCCGACCCTGATTTTTGTACATTGATTTTGTATCCTGAAACTTTACTAAAGTTTTTTTTTTTTATCAAGTCTATGAATCTTTTGGAGAGTCTTTAGGGTTTACCAAGTACACGATCATGTCACTGGTGAATTCAGAGATAATTTGACTTCCTTTTTTCTTATTTGTACACCTTTTATTTTTTTCTCTTGCCTGATGGCTCTGGTTAGGACTTCCAGTACTATGTTGAATAGGAGTGGTTCGAGTGGACATCCTTGTTTTCTTCCAGCTCTTAGGGGGAATGCTTTCAACTTTTGCTCATTAAGTATTATGTTGGTAATTGGTTTGTCATCCATGGCACTTATTATTTTGAGGTATGTTTCTTAGATGCTTGGTTTGTTGAAGGTTTTTGTCATGAAGGGATGTTATATTTTGTTAAATGGCTTTTCTGCATCTATTCAGGTGATCCTATAGATTTTGTTTAGTTCTGTTTATGTGATGAATCATGTTTATTGATTTGAAGATGTTGGTCCATCCTTGCCTCCCTGGAATAAAGCCCACTTGATTGTGATGTATTCTCTTTTTAATGTGCTATTGGATTTGATTCATTCCTATTTTGTTGAGGACTTTTGCATTTACGTTCATCAGGGATATTAACCTATAGTTTTCTTTTCTTGTTGTGTCCTTTCCTGATTTTGGTATCAGGGTGATATTGGTTTCATAGAAAGAGTTAGGGAGGAATCCCTTCTCTTCTATTTTTAGGAATAGTCTCAGTAAGATTGGTACCAGTTCTTCTCTGTTTGTGTGGTAAAATTCAGCTGTGAATCTATCTGTCATCTGAGATTATTTTTGTTGGAAGATTGTTTTATTACTGATTCAATTTTGTTTCTCATTATTGATCTGTTCAGCATTTTAATTTCTACTTGGTTCATTCTTGGGAGGTTGCATGTTTCCAGGAAGTTATCCATTTCCTTCAGGTGTTCTAGTATGTGCACATAGATGTGTTCATATTAGCCTCTGATGGTCTTTTGTACTGCTGTGGTATTTATTGTAACGTCACCTGTATTATTTCTAAATGTATTTATTTTAATCCTCTCTTTTTTCTTTTCTTGGTTAATCTAGCTAGCAGTCTGTCCATTTTGTTTATCTTTTCAAAGAACCAACTGCTTGTTTCATTAGTTCTTTGTATATATATATTTGGTCTCAATTTCATTTAGTTCTGCTCTGATCTTAGTTACTTCTTTTCTTGCGCTAGTTTTGGGTTTGGCTTGTTCTTGTTTTTCTAGTTCCTTTAGGTGCAATATTAGGTTGTTCATTTGAGATCTTTCTAACTTTTTGATATAGGCATTTAATGCTATAAAATTTCCTCTTAGCACTGCTAAACACTCAATAAAGACAATGGTGCAATACTTTAAAAAAATCCCAAAATAAGAAAATTGTGATTCCAGACTCATACACCAACTCATATATTATTCAAATATAAATAACATATATTTTTGACTAACAAAACAAGAATGTATAAAAGTGATTATATTTTTTAAAAAAGCCAGCCAGGCATGGTGGCTAACATGTGTAATTACAGCTCTTTGGGAGGCTGAGGTGGGAAGGTCACTTGAGGTTAGGAGTTTGAGACCAGCCTAGGCAATATAGAGAGGTCTTGTCTCTAATTTAAAAAATAATAATAAATAAATAAAATTCTTTTAAAAAGCCAGACAAATTTCTTTAAGTGAATAATTGGATATTTTATATTATAAATGGGTAAGCTAAATAGCCTAGAGGTCTAGAAGATAGATCTTAAAAAATTAAACACAGAACAACATAAAGAGACCAAATAAATAATCTAGAAATAAAAGAATATATACTTTTTATTTTTACACATAAACTATAACTGATCTGACAACAAACTTCTCAATTGTAGCAAGAGAAGCCATAAGACAACTGAATAAAATCTTCAAAGATTTCAGAGAAATCAATTGCTACCATGTAATTTTCAGGCATACAAAAAAATTTACTGTCATTTAGATCTCACTAAAGAATCTTTAAAAGATACATTTCATTCATAAGAAAACTACTGATAGAGACCTGAAATTATGACAAAAGAAAATAGTAAATGTAGCTAAATTTAATAATGTGAGTACATATAATAATATAATAGTATCTCATTTTTGAGGTTATAAAAAGTTTAAATTACTAGAAAATTTCCAAAAAGACTAAAACAGTAGAATGAAGGACTGAACAATAGAATGGAAATCAAGAGATAATGATTGTAGTTAAAGAATTTTAAGCTTATAAGTTGATTCCTAAAATTCTAGATTTTGGTGTTAAAATTTCTAAAGTGACCTTTAAAGTAAATAAAATAGACTGATAACCTAACTTCAGAACTAGTACATGAGAAAAAGTAGAATAAGTTCAAAAACAAAAATTAAATAAATGAATTCAACAAATACAAAAGAACACAAGAAGGAAGATAAAACTAAAATCACGAAAATGTAAAATAAATTACAAAACAAGAAGTGTAAATGGACTCAATCATTTAGGTAAAAGATTTTCAGACTAGAGTAAAAAAAGTTGAGAAAAGTTGTAGAAGGCAATGGAAACTAAATGAAATCTAATTGAATTCTTTTCATATAATGGGATATTGAACAATCAGGACTCATGAAATACAATTATGAAGCCAACACTTTTGTAACTTGGTTTTTTAAACTTGTTCAGTAGTTTAAAGTACATTAATCCTTTCTTTGCTGCTCAGTGAAATTCTAGGCCCACTGACTTTTATGTTTGATCGTAGGAAATAATTCTAAGATTACATTGAGTTTCAAAACATATTCCATTCCAAGCATTAATTAACACTTCTGTATTTGTTTAAAGGTTTCATTGTAATTGGGTAGTGTTTGGGGTAGGAGGTGTGTTAGACTAGGAAAAGAAAAAAAGGAGATATCTAAATTCTTGTTTGAGTAATTTTTAAATTAAATTGATTATTTAGGCCTTACTAATATTCAGACCTGAGTGTTTTTCTTTTGGAGCCCTTTCATGGCTTCTCTGAAAACTTGTTTTTCCCATTTCACTACAATTTTCTTAGTGCAGAATGGCTCTTCTTGAGATGATATCCTTTCATAATGTGCCCCTGATGTTACTTTCTATATTTCCTTTCTGTTAGGGTCATCTTATCCTAGCAATAAACACTCTTGGCTAGGAGTCTTTGAAAATGATCTCATACTGATATTCCAATCATCATTTTCATGTATGATCTCTGGGACTTAGGTATCTTTTGTAGAGGACAAGTTACTAAAGCTTCCGTAGCCTTCTTTAGCTTTAGCAGACATGAAATTCCTCTCAAATAGTTTCAAAACAGCAGTGTGATGACAGATGCCAGCTTGTCTTGCTAGACTTCTATAGTTTTGGCTGACAAGCACACAATGAATCCGAAAAGATTCAGAGTTTGTTATTTACAGCACAGCAGCTAGAATGACCTTCATGTTCGCATGAGTTTTCCTTTTCTTTCAAGTCCCCAGGGGGTTATCTGGATGTGGATCCAGGTAGATTCCGCATCCACAGTGGGTCTGCATCAAAACTGAGGAACACTGATCTTCGGTAAACCCAGTCTTATAAGGGACTGCTAACAAACCCACAAACTCCATATCCTCTCTGGAGAGAAACATTATCTATATTACCCTAGACTGTGAGCAAAAATCTCTGGGGAGAGGAGGGAGGCATCTCTATTATCCTGTGATGTCTCTAGGAAAGATGTCTCTCTTTATTATTCATAAATGTAAATAAATTTGTTCCAGAGTGAATCTCTGTTTCTTTTCTTTCAGGGCCACTTGAAAATATTTCTGAAAAATTAGTAATGAAGTGAATAGGTTGTTAATATCTATGAATGTAGAAACATGAAATATTCATGAAGAACTGTTTCCAACATATTTTTTTTTCGCCTGTGGTGGCTAATGTGAGATGAGGGGAGTGGATTCCTAGCAGTGTACTGAATAACTTCAAAATCATCCTTATTAAATCATACCTACTTGTCACTCTTGATATGTTTTGATACTCTTTGTATGCAAATGACTTTAGATATGTAAAACTAGTTCTCAGTGCATCATTTGAAAATCTAGATGTTGGTATGCCTTTTGCTTTGGAATTTCTTATCTATTTTACTTTGATCCAAACCTTTCAAATAAACAGCCTGCTACTTAAATATCAGACAAAACAGAATTTAAGACAGAGCATTATGAAAAAAAAATCAGCATACCTTGATAACAGTTTTTCTTCCCTATGAAAATACGGTACTCGACTTACATGCACTTAATATCTAGTTTTAAATATGTATAAAACAATTGGCACATCTACATTTGGCATAATTGGCACATCTAACATTTCTCAACTGATATTATGAGATTGGTAAGACCTTGATACCAAAACCAAATGAAAAAAAAAATGAGAAAAAATTTTAGGCCCATTTCACGTAGAAATGTGCAAACATAAACAAATATTAGTGAATAGAATTTATCGAAAGGTAATCCATCATCATTGAATTGGATTTATTCTAGGAATTTAGTAGAGCTTCAGAATTAGAAAATCAAAGTATTTTACTCGAATAATTTAAAGAGCAAGAATGATGTAATCATCTCAAAATATAAAATATAATAAAAAATTAAACACTAAATCAATAGTCTAAAAACCTCTTAGAAAGCAAATTATAGATGAGAGCTTCCTTATCCTAATAAAGGTATCTACAAAAATTTACACCAAACATCACTTCTAAGATAATTTTGTAAAAATCAAGAACAAGACTTGGATGCCTGATATCACCACTTTAATTTAACATTTAACTAGCTACCAGTCATTTCAATAAGAAGAATAACATTTGGAATACACAGGAGAAAAACTAAATTCTTGTAGCCAATATTATTATCTATGTAAAAAAATAAATCTAGAGATAAATTATTAAAATTAATGTTTTATAAGGCTTCAAGTTAGAATATTGATATTAAGTCAATTTTGTTTTTATATCTCACCACAACTAATTAGAAAATGTAGTTTAAGGATATATCATTTACAATAGCAACAGTGTTTTGAATATAATAAAAAAGTTTAAGATTACTATGGAGAAAAATCCAAGACCTTATTAAAAGACATTATTAAATAATACCTGAATATAGAAAAAGATAAACAGTACTATATTAATGGGTTGAAGACTCCTTATTGTAAAGAAAGTTCAGCATGATGTTCCAAAATGAAAAGTTAGCCAAATAGCCTGACTAGGAGAGCTAACTATGCAGATTAATTCCTTATGTCTTATGAGATGAAATGTATACGTGGTTCTGGCAATTATGATAAAACATTCATAGTAAGTGCATGCATTGAAAATACAAAATGACCATACTGATATATCATAATAAAAAGACAATGAGTTAGGGTCTATCAGCCATGCAAAATTAAAAGAATCCATCATTTTGGGAAAGCTACTAAGTTCTGATAATTAACACCAACTGACAGAAATTTTAAAATTCATGTCTTAACAAGTAAATCTTCACTTTAGAAATGGCCTCTATCTAATGATCAGTAGTTCATTTGAATCACTTATACTAAGCAAACAGGTTATATGTCCCAACTGGATCCTAAAACCCGGTATGATTACTCTTTGGGAAGGAATCAAAATGCTTCAGAAATCCTAAGAAAATAGCAATATAAATAAAGCAATAACTCTGGAAGGTATGAAAATAGTAAACAAATTATATCTGTGGTGTTGACAATTTATATCCATTAAGTATACTGAACAAAGTTGAGATTTTTATGTTTTGATCTGTGTATATTTGTTTACTGTTTAAAGGAAAGTGAAGAATCAGCCATAATAATAGCAGTTTAAATTATTTAAATAAATTTATTGTGTAAAGTTTGTAGTTACCATTTAAATTATTGAGCCAACCTGGTTTTCAGAATTTGCTTAAGAGAAATGTGAGTTCAATACATTAAGCATTAAGCAAAGTACAAATGATAGTGAATACATCTTCCCACGTATATAAGCTCCTCACAACTAAAGAACTGATAATATTACAGGGGTGCACTGCCCAGATCCTCTCTTCTGGAGCGAAATACCTATTCTCGCAGCTGCTGGGAGTGTTGTCTGATGGTTCATAGCTAGTCCCTGTGCAGAAGGCAGTTGTCTTATCCAAGGTTAACACCCCTTCTTGGGGACACCCTGCATCCAGTGGTTGATGTGAGACACAAAGGCCCAGATCTCAATATAGGACAACTCTGAAGGGCCATCCCAGCTCCAGAGCTTCTTATAGGATCATATGAGACCTCTGTTACAACAGCCTTACAGTGAAATTTCTTCCTCTGCCTGATTTACTTTCCCCACCTTGTTACAAGTGTTGTTCCAGAGGATACACCCTGGTAGGTCTAGGGCATGAAAACCTCTGTTCAGAATCTCTTTTCCAGGGAACTCTACCTAAGACAGGGGTAATTTTGTTTGTATTTCCATAAGCATTCATTAAATTGATGACCATATGACAATTTTTGAATTGTTGGGATTGGTATTGGAGATACAAAGACATATTTCCTGACCTAAGTTTGCAACTTATATGGGCATGCAGGGTAGATACATAAAACGCTAATTGACAACACACATTCAGCACTGGCCAAATGCGTGGAAGCCAAGAGTATATATTATAGGAATCCAGAAAAAAGGATAGGCCTGTCTTCTTGGGCTGAAATGCAAAAGATAGGCAGGATTGAAATAAATGAAAAGGCATGGTATTATTTATGGTGCAATACAGTTTGTTCTTAACTCTTTTGTAACATTTGTCTTATTGTACCACAATTTGTTAACATGCCTCTTTCTCGAACTTGATTTTGAGCTTCCCATTGATGGGTTCATATTTCATTCATCTATGAACCCCTAGAAAGTAGAATGTTTATTAATTCAATTAGTACTTGTTTAGCACTGATCAGTCAGACAGTGTGCCAGGCACTGGACACTAGAGTATGAATGAGGTATTGTCCTGGCCCTCAAGCAGGTGACAGCCCAGAGAGGAAGGTAATCAGTAGACATTTTAACAGACAACTTAAATATGTTGTGATGAGTAATATTTGTTAAGTAGATATTTATTGTCAGGTGCCATTTAAGTGCCAGGTTATGATGGCATAACCAACAAAATGCTCTGGGACTCTCAACTCACGTGGAGAAGAGCATATTGTTTAAGGAGGGCTTCCTGGAACAGGTGATGTTCGTATGTGGCTTTGGGTGAGGGAATTCTTTTTTTGTGTGGGAATTTCTCTGAGAAAAACTCAGTTGCCAAGGTTCATAGCAGCTGGTGGAACAAACGCCTCAGCCCTGCAGGTGGATCTGGGCTGCACGCAATGGTATCTATCTTGGTGATCTGGGTAGAGCAGGCACTTTCAAACCTGAGGTGCATCAGAACCACCTGGAGGGCATATTAAAACAGATTCCTGGCCCCACCCTCAGCTTTTCTGATTAATAGGTCTGGAGAGGTGTCTCAAATCTGCATATCTAATAAGTTCCCAGGTGATAGTGATACTGCAGATTCTGGATCTGCACTTTAAAAACCACTAATATAGAGAAGGCTGTATTTGGAATGTCGCTTCAGGGCATGCATTATGAGTAGATAACATTTCAATACTGTATACTAAATAAATGAACTAGTATCACCAAGTTGAAGGATTCTACTTCCAGTTGAGGGAGAAAGCACATCATTACAACACAATGTGGCAAGTGCTATACAGAAATTAGAACAAAGTATTTGCAGGGCTGGAAAAGGAAAGGACTGATTTTTTCTTAGTACCTCATAAGAATCTTGACACAAAGTAAGTGGTGAGCTGTCTCACCTTTGGGCTGAACGAACTAATTGGGAGTAAACTATTTGTTATCTTTTCATCTTAGTTTTCCCATGAGTAAAATGGGAATATTAATAGCTGTATCAAAGGGTTGTTGTTAGGATTAAGATAATGCATGTGAAAGTACTTTATAAAATAAAGTAATATTGTACATTTTCATTTTTATCCTTTCCTTGATTATTTTCCCGGAGTTCTTTGCTTGCTTGCTTATTTGTTTGTTCTAAGTATGTATGACGGCCTTGTTGCAGAAAAATCTGATACTTTCCTGGGCTTTTACATGTTTTCTTTTGTTTTACTGGTATTGCACAAGGAAATTAGAAACCACTGTTAGGAGTGTAACTTAAATGAGAAGAATTAATAACAGGTTTTCTTTCTCACATAAATTTTGCTTCTATTATAAGAAGTTGGCTAAGTTACAAATTATTTAATGAGAGACATGAATATTAATTATCCAAGTGATACAAAAGTAAATGTACATTTTGTTAGAACTTTAATTTGTGAATTTAAATTTCATCCCTGACTGGAACTTTAAAAAAATAACAAATTTAATCTCTTTAGCCACACGATGGTAGTGTTGCTTCTCTTGTTAAGACACAAAAATAGATTTCAGATGTCAGTTAAAATTGTAAAAAAATTATATTTCTCCAAGGAGACCTAACAATAAAACATTAGTTTCATAAAGAAAAAAGACTCCCACACATTTATGTTATTTTTAAAGAGCAGGAAACATCGATGCCAGTGTTTCCTGAGGAGAATTGCCATTTCTTCTTTAGGAAACAGATCTTTGCTCGTCAGGAACATTGTCATCATCCCTGTTCTAGGGGAATCTTGTTTTGGGCATTGTCTTTCTAATTACTGTCCCTTTTAATTGGGTTGACCAACATAATTTGTTTCTCTGTAAGTTGATGTAGATATTTATATTGAAGAAAAGAAATTTTAAATGACACTTAGATTGATTGTCTTCCACACAATCTTTCATAGCAGATTTAGGATTAGAAGTCAACTTGGAATTTGTTTAGTGTGACCCTCTATTTGCATGCAGACATTACTTCTGCATCATCCAGAACAGATGGTCATCTAGTTTCTCAAGTGTGTCTAAGGATCCCTTCAAAGCAGCTTCTTATAGGACCCCTAGAAAAAGAGCTTGTTTGCTTTTATATTCAGCATAATGTGGAAGCTATGAAGCTTCTGTTTGCTTGAATTCAAACCATTTCATTTGTCTGGAGGCAACCATCTTGTTGAGAGAATGAGTCATAGGATAAAATTATGAAATGTAGTTTGTCTGCTGAATACTGTAGTCAGTCACAATCTGTCCCACAGATCAAAAAAATGTTGAAGAAATATAGCAAGCTACATTTTGTACTCTAAGAAATGTGGGTTTAACAAGTCAGTACTTATTTATTTTCCTCATGACCACCATGGACTTACTGAAATACTTAGACAACTAGGATTTCTAGTTACTTTGTTCCCAGAAGTGCAGTTTTCCATAATAGTTTTATAATGAATAGGTTTAGTAGAGGGAGGAAATAAAGCTCTTTGCCATTTGTCAAATGGTGTGGTAGTGACTTCAGAAGGCAGGCTTTTCTTGGCAGGGCCTTGGCTCCATGCTCCACGCAGTTATTTTCTCAGGGGACACTTCTCTTCTCATCCAGTTAAGATGGTAAAAGAGGTTTGTGGAAAGATTTAGACTGAGCTTACAGGAGTCTGAATATCAGTGTAGTCACCATGGGTCCAGAATACATTCCTAAGCTTTGTAGATTTAGAAATGGCCTCTTATCAGTTCAGCTAGAACTGATTATGCTCTGGGGGAACCTACTACAATAACTGGTCTCAGAAGAGAAGTAGATATAAACCTGAATGCTTCCTTATTACATTCCCCATGGGAAATTTGCCTGGCAGGTAGTCTACACTGGTCATTGCTCAAGCTGTGGCATTTTAGTGGGCATTAAAATGTCAGCTCCTTGAGAAGCACTATTCCAGGTATGGAGGGGAATAATAACCTCATTGTATATGCTGTTTCTGCAGATGGTTAAGTGCTCCCATTTTATATTCATTTTTGCTGGTTATGATTTCAGATAGTGATATTTCTGACTTTGATCCCAAGTTCTTATTTGGGTCCTGAAGCCACCATGACATGACAATTGTATAGACTTTTATGACTGTAAATTTTGTGTTGTTTAAATCTAGACATTAAATAGCAATCATTTATTTTTCCAATGTATGCCGTTTGTAATGATTTTTTCTCTGTTACTATAGCATTTTTATCAAGAAAGGGATGGAAAAAACATTTGAATTTACTATTTTTATTGATTAATTTAAAAATTAATAAGTTTTATTTGTATATTTGGATATACAACATGATGTAATAGAATACATATATATAGTAGAAAGGTTACTATTGAGAAGCAAATTAACATATCCATCATCTCACATAGTTACCTATTTTTGAGTGTGTGTGACAAGAACAGCTAAAATCTGCTCATTTTGTCAGGAATCCCAAATACAGTACAATTTATCAATTATAGTCCTCATGTTGTACATCGGCTCTCTACACTTGTTCATCCTATATACCTGCTTCATTGTAACTTCTAACCTATATCTTCCCATTTCTTCCCCCAACCCCACAATTGCTATTTTAGTCTCCATCTCTGCATATTTGACTTTCTCTTTTTAGGATTCCACATATAATTGGGATCATGCAATATTTTCTTTCTGTGTCTGGCATATTTCACTTAGCATAATGTTCTCCAGGCTTATCCATGTTGTGGCAAATGGCAGAATCTCCTTTTCTAAGGCTTAATAGTATTCCATTTTGTGCAAGTGTATATGTATGTATACATATACCCATGCACATAAACACGCACAAGTACACTCACACACACGTACACACACACACCATAGTTTCTTTATCCATTCATCCACTGATAGACACTTAGGTTGTTTCTAATTCTTTACTTCTGTGAATAATGCTGCAATAAACATGAGAACACAAGATATCTTTATGAGGTGGTGATTTCATTTTCTTTGGGGATATACCCAGAAGAGGGATTGTGAGGTCTTATGGTAGTTCTAGTTGTAATTCCTTTAGGAATCTGCATAATGTTTTCAATACTAGTTGCACCAATCTATACTCTCACTAATAGTTTACAAGTGTTCCCTTTTCTCCACGCCATTGCCAACACTTGTTATCACTTGTCTTTTTGATAATAGCTATCCTAATGGGCGTAGTCTTACAATGGTTTTAATTTGCATTTCTCTGATAATTAATGATGTTGAGACCTTTTAATATACCTGCTGGTCATTTTTATGTCTTCTTTGAAGAATTTCCTAATATTTTTGTTAGACATTCCAGACACTTATTAAATAAGATAAAAGGGTGAAAAAATGCCATAATGAAAAAAAAAGGAATAGTAATATGAGAAAAGAGTTAGATAATAATGGATTTAGTCTTCAAATGGGAGGCCAAGTAAAGATTCACATAACATATATCTACTTTAAAAAAATAAATGTTGACCTTTTTCTACTTGTTGAAGAGTATCTACCTTATAAGTATTTGTTCAGTCCAAAAAATTATTTAATGCTTACTAAATACCAAGGACTATGTTAAGCATGAAGGAGAAAATGATAAAAAAGACATAGTCTCTACATCAAGGAGCTCATAACCTAGTGGGGGAGGCTAACAAGTAAACAGGCAATTCTAATTAAGTAGGATATAATGAAGCTAATATGCTAATGATGCACAGAAAACTGTATCTGACCCAGCTCTCTATTACATTATAAATAACACAGAGTAATTATATTATAGTCAATATGTTTTTATACTTTTCCATGGTGCTGTGGTTTGAATATTGTCCTCAAAAGTTCCTGTATCACAAACTAAATAGTCATTGGAATACTATTAAGAGGCAAAGTCTTTAAGAGGCGACTGGGCTATGAAAGCTCCACCCTCTTGCTGGGTTTAATGGTGTTACTGAGGGAGTAGGTTTGTTATCTCAAGAGTTCAGCCACCTTTTTCTCTCTGTCTCACATGTTCACTTTCCCTTCTGCCATGGAATAATGCAGCAAGAAGGCCATCATCAGATGCCAGCACCATGCACTTGAACTTCCAAGCCTCAAGAACAATGAGCCAAATGGATCTATTTTCTTTATAAATCACCCAATTTGTAGTATTCCATTATAGCTGCAGAAAATGCATTAAGGTACACAATCTTCCTTTAGTTTAAAAGATTTAAGATAAAGATAAGATGGACTTATTTTATGTATTAGCATATTGCTGTACTAAAGCTCTTGATTATGGAAATGATGGTCTCCAATATGTGATTATTTTTTTAACCATGAGTATGAAGATGTGACAATATTCACTCAAATTTACAATAGCTTTCCCAAACCACCCCAAGTTAAGCACACATTTTATGTAAAAACAGCACACTTGGAATGCAGGCACAGCTTCTGGCAAGTATTTTAGAACCTACCCTGTGCCCACCACACAAGCACACCTCATGCAACCAGTGTGCTGCTCCAAAACTTCCCCTATATAGAAGTTAAGAGTCTTCCACTCTTTGGAAGCCTATTTATAATACGAAGCAGAAATCACTGTAGCAAAAGTAGAATATATAGTATTTCTATATGATATATAAGGTTATTGTCCAAGATGTTAGAGTCATATTTATAATGTTACTCATTTAAGTTGCACTATTTTATTATTCTTAATATGAGCAAACAGAACATACTATAATGCATCTTTCAAAACTTTAGAGAACAAAACTACTGGGTCACTATGGGACATCCTGCAGTGAACTGCAGAGAATCTGTGTTCTAAGTCCTTTTCAAGCACTGTAGCCTTGAACTAGTTAAATCCTATCAGTCACTTTACCAAGAGAAGTAGTATTTAATAAAATTTAATCTACACATTCATCTAGCCATCAATCAACACAAATGGCATTTGTTGAGCTCCTAGTATGTTTTGGATGCTGTTTTAGACATTCGGGTTCCATAATGAATAACAGGTTATCCCTATCTCCAGGGAGTGTATTTATGCCATATTATAGGAGGAAGACTTATTTATGATTCACTATGGGATAAGCATTATAATGATTTCTTAACATAGTGCCACAGAGACACTAGAGAAGAAAGATAAATTCTGTCTTTAAAGGCAGAAAAAGTCTTTAGAGAGGAGGTCACATTTGCACAGATTTGTGGAGAATGTGTAGGAATTTTCTAAGTGGCTATAGTAAAGAGAAAATATTATGATATAAAGTATATATAATTCATCTATTCTATATGTTTTAAGTTCTGTCTTTTAAGAGATTAGATGACAAGGAAACTCTATGCTTAGTTGTTTTCTGGTCCTCTTGTTTTCAAGATGGCTGTCTAGGAACATTGAAAACCAGTTCTCCTCAGAAAGAAGATCAAAGTTACTGGTGAATGGACAAATTCTGAGTGGTAAAATGAGGGAAGTGAGCCAGGACCTATCAGAGTGTTCATGGGAAGATGCTATGGTACAGGAAAGGAAAGCAGCGAGGGTCTGGCCAAGATCGATCCCTGTGGAGCTTGAAGCCCTGAGAAAAGGGTGGGTGGGAAGGCTTCTTTGCTCCCCTTACCCCTCACAATCTCCTAACAGCCAAACTACTGGGGAGACCCTCTGCTCTCAAGGCCAAGGGTGACACTAGCAGTGGTGATTTGAGAACTACCTGGGGATAGAGACCCAAGTGGCTAGCCTAAACAGTTGTGCCCACACTGCCCTCAGACCTGAGCTGAGATGGTGGGGCACCATACTTGTCATGCACCCATAGTGGAACACTGTCCTGTCCAGGGAGTCTCCACCCTTGAGACGCTGCTCCACTAAATCCCCTGCAAACATACCCCACAACCTGCTCTGACTTTGGCAAGCACAGGAGACTGGTTCTGGGGAGCTGTGGGATCCCTGGAGATCTAACCCTTGGCATAGGTTGACCCTAAGGGACAAGGGAATACAGCACCAAAGCCTCCTCTTGGGACAAAGGAAATGTAGTCTGGCACTAACTGCTGAAAGAGACAGCACCGATGCCTGGGAATGAATGTGGAGAGGGGGGTCATCTGGACGGATGAGGAGTGGGTGCAACTCTCCTGCCCACTATCCTGAGATATCAGTGCACTTCAAAATCTCTTCTTGCCACTCCTGTGTCCAGGAGGGTGCTTCTGGTGGACACCAGTCTACTTGCCAGCTCTTAAACACCATCTGCTGTACTGCAGCCTGAGCTGTACTACCAAAAAAAAAAAAAAATCTGCTATGAGAAGGGCTCAGTGCTAGTCCATGAGATAAGCCCCCTGGTACTTCCACACCCTCAGCCCTACAGGAAATAGGATATCAGCTGTTACAGCCAATACCTTACTACAACAAGCAGCAACTGAGAAAACCACTACACAGAAGCTATTCACAACCAAGGAACCTATATAGAACTTTGGCTCCCTGAAAGCACCCAGAAATAAAACCAAATGATCATATACCATGTACACTACAGTCATATCTTTAAGAGGAATAAAAAAGAATAAAAGTCTCTTCCAAATAATAGCAATTTCAAAAATGAGAAGTGATAGCTCCCTCAGATGAAAAGAAATCAGTGCAAGAACTCCAGCAGTACAAAAAGCCAGAGTGTTTTGAAACCTCCAAAAGATTGTACTAGTTATCTAGCAATGGCTCCTAACCAGATTTAAATGACGACAACATGACAGATAATAAACTCAAAATATGGAATGCAAGGAAACTCAAGAGAGCCAAGAGAAAGCTAAAACCCAATACAAAAAAATCAGAAAAAGATTCAGGATGTAAAAGATGAGATAGCCATATTAAGAAAAAAAAAACAACTAGAACTGCACAAATTGAATAACCACTAAAGAAATTTCAAAATAAAGTTGCAAGAGTTAACAATAGACTAGAAGCAGAAGAAAGAATTTCAGAGCTGGAAGGCCAGTCTTTCAAATTAACCCTAGTCAGACAAAAATAAAGACAAAATAATCTTGAAAAATAAAGCTTTTGAGAAATATGGGATTATGTAAAGCAATCAAACCTTTGACTTATTGGTATTCCTGAGGGAGAAAAAGAAAAAGTAAGCAACCTGGAAAACATATTCGAAGGCATTATTAAGGAAAATTCTCCTAATCTTGCTAAGAGGTCAACATCTGGACTTGGGAAATTCAGAGAAATTCTGCGAGATCCTGTACAAGATGACTATCCCCAAGGCATATAGTCATCAGATTCCCATAGGATCCCTTGGGGGAAAACAGAAAAAACCTTAAAGGAAAGTAGAGAAAAGGATCAAATTATCTATAGAGGAAAACCCATCCGACTAACAGTGGACCTCTCAGCAGAAATCTTAATGTCACCCCTAAAGGAACTAGAAAAATAAGAATAAGCTAAATCCAAAGAAATAATGAAGCTAAGTCCAACAGAAATAATGAAGCTCAGAGCAGTACTAAATGAAACTGAGACCATAAAAACACATGAAGGATCAATGAAATGAAATGTTGGTCTTGGAAAGGATAAACAAAATGGACAGACTGCTAGCTAGATTAACCAAGAAAAAAAGAGAAAATCCAAATAGGCACAATCAGAAGTAACAAAGGTGACATTACAACAGAAATACAAAATATCCTCAGAAACCCTATGAACATCTCCATGAACACAAAGTAGAAAATCTAGAGGAAATGAAAACACACAATCCCCCAAAATTGAACTAGGAAGAAATTGAAATCCTTAACAGACCAATAATGAGTTATGAAATTGAATCAGTAATAAAATCTAGTAACCAAAAAAGTACTGAACCAGATGGATCTATAGCCAAATTATACCAAATGTACAAAAAACAGTTGGTACCAATTTTATTAAAAACATGCTAAAAAATCAAAGAGGAGGAATTCCTCCCTAACTCATTCTGAGAAACCCAGTATCATCCTGATCCAAAACCCAGCAAGAACAAAAAAGAAAACTACAGGCCAATGCACTTGATGAACATAGATGTAAAAATCCTCAACAAAATACAAATTAACTGAATTCAACAGAACATCAGAAAGAGAACACACCACAATCAAATGGATTTTATTGTTGCAATGCAAGGATGGTCCAACATATACAAATCAATAAGTGTTTCACCACATAAAAAGACTTAAAAACAAAAACCATATGATTATCTCGATAGATGCATAAAAGACATTTGCTAAAATACAACACTCCTTTATGATAAAAACCTTCAACCACTAGGCATCTAAGGAACATACCTTGAAATAATAAGAACCATCTATGACAAACCCTTAGCCAACATAAATCTGAATGGACCAAAGATGAAAGCATTTCCTCTCAGAGCTAGAACAGGACAAGAATGTCCACTGTCACCACTCCTATTCAACATAATAGTGGAAGTCTTAGAGCATATCAGGCAAGAGAAAGAGATAAAAGACATCCAAATAGAAAAAGAAGTCAAATTGTCTTTGTTCACCAATTACATGATCCTATACCTAGAAAACCCTAAAAATTTCTCCCCCAAACTCCTATACCTGATGAACAACTTCAGCAAAGTTTCAAGACACAAAATCAATGTACAAATTATTGTATGTTTATCAAATTAACAATGTTCAAGTTAAGAAGCAAATCAAGAACTCAATCCCATTTACAATAGCCACAAAAAAAATCTAGGAATACATTTAACAAAGTAGGTGAAATATCTCTACAAAAGAACTACAAAATACTGATGAAAGAAATCATGAATTACACACAAAAAATGTTGAAGCATTCCATGCTCATGGATTGGAAGAATCAATCTTGTTAAAATGACCATACCACCAAAAGCAATCTACAGATTCAAAGCAATTCCTGTCAAATTACCAACATCATTTTTCATAGACTTAGAAAAAACAATTCTAAAACTCATATGGAAACAAAAGAGAGCCCAAATAGCCAAAGAAATCCCAAGCAAAAAGAACAAAGTGAGAGGCAACACATTACCCCACTTCAAACTATAGTTGTAGTAACTATAGTTGACAACTGTAGTTGACAAAGCAGCATGTTTGTGGTACAAAAATTGACATAAGGATCAATGGAACAGAATTGAAAGCCAAAACATAAAGCCACACACTTACAACCAACTGATCTTTGACAAAGTCAAGAAAAACTAAAACTGGCACAGGGTCACCCTATTCAATAAATGGTGCTAGGAAAAAAGCCTGGCCACTTGCAGAAGAAAAACACTGGACCCCTACCCTCTCATCATATACAAAAATTAACTCAAGATGGATTAAAGACTTCAATGTAAGACCTAAAACTATAAAAATCCTGAAGAAAACCTAGAAAAAACTCTTCTGGATACTGGCATAGACAAATAATTTTTGACTAAGACCTCAAAAGCAATTGCAACAAAAGCAAACATTGACAAATAGGGCTTAATTAAATGAAAGAGCTTCTGTAAAGAAAACAAAATAATCAACAGGTTAAATACAACCTTCAGAAAGAGTAAATATTTGCAAACTATGTATCTGACAAAGACTAATATCTAGAATATATAAGAATCTTAAACAAATCAACATGAAATAAAACAACCCAATTAAAAAGTGTGCAAAGGACATGAACAGACACTTCTCAAAAGAAGACACAGAAACAACCAAAAAACATATGAAAAAATGCTCAACATCAATAATTCTCTGTAATAATAATCAGAGAAATGCAAAATAAAACCACACTGAAATATCATCTCATATCAGTCAGAATACTTAATATTAAAAAGTCAAAAAACAACAGATGTTGGCAAGAATGCAGAGAAAAGGGAACACTTATACACTGTTGGTGGAAATATAAATTAGTTCAGCCTCTATGGAAAACAGTATGGAGATACCTCAAAGAACTAAAAATAGAACTACCATTCAACCCAGCAATCCCACTACTGGGTATTTATTTACCCAATGGAAAACAAATGGTTTTATAAAAAAGACACCTGCATTTCTACACTTATTGCAGCACTACTCACAATAGCAAAGTCATGGAATCAACCTAGATGTCCATGAACAGTGAGTTGGATAAAGAAAATGTGGTAGTTATACACCAAGGAATAATGTGCAATCATAAAAAGAATAAAATCATGTTCTTTGCAGCAACATGGATGCAGTTCTAAGCCATTTTCCTGAGTGAATTAACACAAAAACAAAAAATCAAATACCACATTTTCTCCCTGATATGTGGGAGCTAAACAGTGGGTACATATGGACATAAAGATGGAAACAGTAGGCACTGGGGACATCAATAGTAGGCAGAGGTGGGCAAGGTTGAAAAACCACCTATTGGGTACCATGTTGACTATTCTGGTGATGAATTCATTAGAAGTCCAAACTCAGAACTTCTAATGAACTCATCACCAAAATAGTCAACATGGTACAATGATCATCACCAAAATAGTCAACATAGTACCAAGTAGGTTTTCTCAGCCAATATACCCATGTAACAAACCTGCACATATACCCCTTAGTCTAAAATAAAATTTTTAAAAATATGACATCTCTGTGCATAGACTGTGACATCTTATCTTCTTGCAGAATCTTTCATTGTGCTGTTTTACTAGTGTGGTCACGAAATTTCATAAGAAATGGCCATATGAAAAATGTGACTTCATTATTATAAAATATTTTTATTGGAATGATGTATTTATTTTTCAATATGTTGTGTTTTGCAAACATTTTCTTCACACGATTAGTAAGTAGTTATTTTTTTCTTGGTAACTGTTCTAATCTTTTTCCATTTTCCTTAACTGAGATACAGTTCTACTTCTCTTTTATTTTATTTCACAGATAAAATAGATTCTAACAGGTGTGAAAACTCAAAGTTCCTCTCATGGACCCACTAAGTTTTATTTATCTTCATTTGTCTTTTACATTATTTAAAGACTGACTTTTCTATAACAGCCTTCTAACAATTCATTTTCTGACTCTTTATTTGGAACGTCCTGTGATCAAATACTAACTCTTTTAAAATTGATACCTTTCTAACCACCATATTCTGCCTATGAAGTATGTAAACCTTTTTATTAAAGAATAAAAAAGAAGGATTTCCTTCAAATCTGGCTTTCACTGTTTTCTTTTCTTCATTTACTTCCAAACTACTGAAAAAAAGGGTCTATATCTGTGGATCAACTTTCCTCACAACATAAATCCATACTTCAATTAAGTCTGGCTACTGCCCCTATTGGTGTTTTGGAAGTTCTATCAGTACAAAAACCAATGCTCTTCCAAGAATTAACAAAACCAAAATCTACTTTCAGTCCTTGGTATTGGTGTGGGTTCTTAGATGTAAGCAATAGAAACTGCCTCTTGCTGAGTTAAACTGAAAAGAAATTTCTGAGAAAGACTTTGAGTAGCTCACAGAGCCAAAAAGAATGCTGTGGAACAAGGATTTGATAATGGAGAAGGAACAAAGGAAACTAACAGGACCAATGGCCAAACCACACTTCAGTTAAATGCTGAGGAACACTGGACCCTTCCACAGTTACTGACTATGAATTCTTAAGTGTCTCTATATGTTTCCAACCTCTGTTGAGACTCAAATTCCTGGGTGGAACATCCAATTGCCTGAGTCTGGCCCACTTGTCTTGATGAACCCTGCATGTTCTAGCTTCTGTAGTGGAGACACGGTCCTTTGAACTTCACATGAAGCAGAAATCCTCCCCCAAATAAAAAAGTCTTTTAAAGATGTTGAGAAGCAAAATACAAATTGTTCCTTCTGTGATCACTCTGTGGCCTTTGGTACCATTATCCAATCCTTTCTTGATATCCCTGATGAACATCGATGTGAAAATCCTCAATAAAATACTGGCAAACTAAATCCAGCAGCACATCAAAAAGCTTATCCACCATGATCAAGTTGGTTTCATCCCTGGGATGCAAAACTGGTTCAACATACGCAAATCAATAAATGTAATCCATCATGTAAACAGAACCAATGACAAAAAAACCACATGATTATCTCAACAGATGCAAAAAAGGCCTTCAATAAAATTCAACACCCCTTCATGCTAAAAACTCTCAATAAACTAGGTATTGATGGAACATATCTCAAAATAATAAGAGCTATGTATGACACACCTAGAGCCAATATCATACCGAAAGGACAAAAGCTGGAAGCATTTCCTTTGAAAACCACCACAAGACAAGGATGCCCTCTCTTTCCACTCCTATTCAATATAGTATTGGAAGTTCTGGCCAGGGCAATCAGGCAAGAGAAAGAAATAAAGAGTATTCAAATAGGAAGAGAGGAAGTCAAATTGCCTCTGCTTGCAGATGACTTGATTATATATTTAGAAAATCCCATTGTCTCAGCTCGAAATCTCCTTAAGCTGATAAGCAACTTCAGCAAAGTCTCAGGATACAAAATTAATGTGCAAAAATCACAAGCATCCCTATACACCAATAATAGACAGAGAGCCAAATCGTGAGTTAACTGCCATTCACAATTGCTTCAGAGAGAATAAAATACCTAAGAATACAACTTACAAGGGATGTGAAGGACCTCTTCAAGGAGAACTACAAACTGCTGCTCAAGGAAATAAGAGAGGACACAAACAAATGGAAAAATATTCCATGCTCATGGATAGGAAGAACCAATATCGTGAAAATGGCTGTACTGCCCAAAGTAATTTATAGATTCAATGCTACTCCCATCAAGCTACCATTGACTTTCCTCACAGAATTAGACAAAACTACTTTACATTTCATATGGAGCCAAAAAACAGCCCATATAGCCAAGACAGTCCTAAGCAAAAAGAACAAAGCTGGAGGCAGCATGCTATCTGACTTCAAACTATACTACAAGGCTACAGTAACCAAAACAGCATGGTACTGGTACCGAAACAGGTATATTGACCAATGGAACAGAACAGAGGCCTCAGAAATAACACCACACGTCTACAACCATCTTTTCTTTGACAAACCTGACAAAAACAAGTAACGGGGAAAGGTGTCTCTATTTAATAAATGGTGCTGGGAAAAATGGCTAGCCATATGGAGAAAACTGAAACTGGATCCCTTCCTTACACCTTAGACAAAAATGAACTCAAGATGGATTAAAGACTTAAACCTAAGACCTAAAACCATAAAAACCCTACAAGAAAACCTAGGCGATACAATTGAGGACATGGGCATGGGCAAAGACTTCATGACTAAAACACCAAAAACAATGGCACAAAAGCCAAAATTGACAAATGGGATATAATTAAACTAAAGACCTCTGCACAGCAAAAGAAACTATCAGCAGAGCGAACAGACAACCTACAGAATGGGAGAAAATTTTTGCAATCTATCCATATGACAAAGAGCTAATATCCAGAATCTACAAAGAACTTGAACAAATTTACAAGAAAAAAACAACCCATCAAAAAGTGGGCAAAGGATATGAACAGACACTTCTCAAAAGAAGACATTTATGTGGCCAATAAATATATGAGGAAAAGCTTATCATCACTGGTCATTAGAGAAATGCAAATCAAAACCACAATGAGATACCATCTCACGCCAGTTAGAATGTCGATCATTAAAAAGTCAGGAAAGAACAGATGCTGGAGAGGATGTGGAGAAACAGGAACGCTTTTACACTGTTGGTGAGAGTGTAAATTAGTTCAACCATTGTGGAAGACAGTGTGGCGATTCCTCAAGGATCTAGAACAAGAAATACCATTTGGCCCAGCAATCCCATTACTGGGTATATACCCAAAGGTTTATAAATCATGCTGCTATAAAGACACATGCACACATATGTTTACTGTGGCACTGTTCACAATAGCAAAGACTTGGAACCAACCCAAATGTCCATCAATGATAGATTGGATAAAGAAAATGTGGCACATATACACCATGGAATACTATGCAGCCATAAAAAAGATGAGTTTATGTCCTTTGCAAGGACATAGATGAAGCTAGAAACCATCATTCTCGGCAAACTAATACAAGAACAGAAAACCAAACACCACGTGTTCTCACTCATAAGTGAGAGTTGAACAATGAGAACACATGGACACAGAGAGGGGAACATCACACACTGGGGCCTGTCAGGGGGTGGAGGGCTAGGGGAGGGATAGTATTAGGAGAAACACCTAATGCAGATGACGGGTTGATAGGTGCAGCAAACCACCATGGCACATGTATACCTATGTAACAAACCTGCACATTTTGCACATGTATCTCAGAATTTAAAGTATAATAATAATAAAAAAAACCATTAAAAATAAATGAATACTACAATTTGAAAAAAAAAAGAAATCTTTTCTGTACCTGATTTCTGGATACCGCACCTGTTTTTCTACACTTCGTGTCTCCCTGTCACCAAGAGGTCAAGTATAAAGCCTTTATCATGGTATTCAATGCCCTTTATGATACTGCTGTTTTGATTTGAGGCATTATATGCCCCATTGTTTTTCAGCTTCCCTTTCTCCTGCTCTTTATCAAGTACCCTTTTTCTCAACACAGCTAACTACATTTAATTCCCTCAGTATGCCCTTCAAGGAGACATTTGGAAATGATTTTCTTCCTCTTTGTCTTTAAATGTATACTTCCAGGTTCAGATTAATTTTGTGAAGCCCTCTAGGACTATTTCTGAGAAGAATTAATCACTCCTTTCTCTTCCTTCCCTTGGTACTTTAGTTTTTGACCTTTCTACTAAATTCTTCATGGGGAGATTATATCATGTTTATAATTAGCCCAATGATAGTTGAATGAATTTTGAATCATCTTAAATCCTTTTTCGGCACCTCCTGGATATAAATTTTATGGAAATAAAAATAATGTTCCTATGATTTCTTTTCCAGGTTTTCAGTTATTCAGAATATCACTGTTTCCATTTATTGTGTATAGTCAAAACACTCTTGAAGTAGCTTTCTCCCAACAATCTGGATAAACTTCCATCAACAAAGCTGGAGATGTGCTGAGGAGGGCACTGTGGTGAAATGAGGAGAAGAGCCTCTTTCTATTGTGCTCCTACTATTTTCTAGGACAGAATAAACTTTCTGCTGCCAACAGCCTAATGTAATAGCTGGCATAAAGTTTGATAGTGTCTTTTCAAAACCAGCATAACAAAATCCTGGACGGGAAGCACTCTAGCAGCTGCTACAAATGCCCTTAAATTGCCACCCATGCATAACTGTTAGAGTTGTGCTGACGTGTGCTGGCCATGGTTTGTCCCTTTCTAGACTACAGATGAACAGAAGCTCCTTCCATAATTTTGGGATTTTTTTTATCACCTACATAATTCCTGTGTCTCAGCTAGAAAGCCACAGTAGACCAACTTAGCACCAAAATTCATGCTAAGTATGTGAATTTTATCCCATGCTTAACCAGGTTTTTTATTTATCATATATGTCCTGAACCCAGAGGAGATATTTTCTGATGTTTGTTAATCATTCTCCAGCAACAAATTGCTAAGTAATTTCGAAAGATGTAATGCACTACCTAGAGTATGCAATGTTGATCTTTGGACAAGGAAATATGTATGGACAGGGAGATTAATGCACCATCCATACAGGAAATGATGTGAAAACAAGTTGTCAGCCAGTGGCAATGATCTTTAAGAATTAAGTGGTTTTAAAACTTGGGCATTAACTTCAGGCTCTAAGGTAACAGTACAGATACATCTAAATCTCTGGATGTTGTGCATTCCTGAAACATCACTGATAAAGCATATTTCTTTGTAATTCATATGTTTGTTCTAAATTCCAGTTTTAGAAATATAGACCTCAGCAGCCTACATAAGCTCTGTAGAAAGAGAGGGAGAGAGATGTTAAGAAAAAAAAAGAAAGATAAGTATAGCAATATACCAAAACAAACAAACAAAAAAGTTAAAGATGACAGGCTCCAATCAGCAAACATAGAAGCATATATGACCTTTATTTGCTCTATTTGTCAACGGTTGAATATGGCAGTGGGAGCATGGATATTTAGCAGGGGCAGCCAGCAGAATTCTGGTTTTAGTTCTGGCATTAGAATTCTCTGCTGCTTAAATTTTGCATATTAAAATTTTTAGAAAAAATATTTGATTTTATGGTATCTTAGAAGTCTTCTAGTCTCACAGGAAATTTAGATGATAAGTATTTTTGTTTCGTAGGTCATCAATGGTTTCTAACAAGTTAAAAGTAATAAAGAGAAAAACATTGCTATTCTTTGAGTTAAACCTTTGGGATACTATTTTGTAAAACGGAAGGTATTCTTGTTTCTGTATTACAATTTTTTATCTTAATTTGTCAGAAAAATTTGTGAAAGATTGAAATGGGGGAGAAAAGACTATTAGGTATTCCGTCCAGTGTTTTTATTGTCTTTAAGCTATTTCACAACTCTATAAGGTTGATAATACAGATAGAAATGCAAATGATTTCTTGTCTGTGGAAATACAAATTATATCCCCTGGAAATGCAGCTGATACTTTCTCTATGAGTATTAACTGGGTTTTCATCATTCAGCAAATGTATTTCACCATCCCTTATGTGCTACATATGTGTAGTTCTTTCAGTTACCCTTTTGCCATTTGTAACATCTTATTGGTTCCCTCATTATTTAATGAATTAAATAAAATCCTTGGCACATGTATTCATTTTGTATTGTGGTTAATTTTACTTTTTGAAAATGAACTTTGTTTTTTATGTAGTTTTACCAGAAATAGTTTAATATTGAGTGCCAGATTGGTTATCTTTTTCCTTATCTCCACAAGTATTCACTGGGTACATACTATATTCCAGATACTTTAAGACACACTGGGTATACAAAACATAACCTGAACCTGCCTGTAGCATCTATATTTTAAAATTATGGTCTATAATGGCTCTCACATAGGCCAATAAGACCGTACAGGGTAATGAAAAGAATAAAATAATAAAGCCTGTGGGTTTACATAGACTTGGGTTCAAATTCATGTTCTACCTCTTTCCTACAGTGTGACTTTTGGCAAGTTACTTAACTGCTCTGAATTTCATTTTCCTCATTCACAAAATGGGTTATACTAAGACCAACCAGGCAGTATTGTTGTGGAATAAGATAAGATTTTGTATGTGACTTGCTTTGTACTTAGATGGTGCCTGGTTCTTGGCAGGTACTCACTGAATGTTGATTCCTGTTCTGTACCCCATGCTTTCAACCTTCTTTTTAATTTCTTTTGGCCACTGCTCCCTGTATGACAAGTTATTATTGCTGTTTCTATTTTACTGATACTGGAATGACTAGTCTAATCTCAATAAACAAGAATCTGCAGTGCTCAAAATCTCGATTCAGTACCCAGCTCAATGAGCCATGCAGGCCTAAAACAAGAAAGAAGTTCACAATCAGGAAAACCTCCAAATGCTAAAAACCACACTTACGCTTATGGTAATATTATTGTAATTTAAAAAGTGTGATTATAAGAATGACTCCATTGCAGAGTACATAATGTTAGTCTACCTGAACAAGTACAGATCAAAATTTGTGAAAGCCAAATTTGCCCAGTCAGATTCCTAAAAGCAAATGCACCCCTTTCGGTTCTTGTGGGCCCCTCAGCATTTATTTATTCAGTTTAATGCTAAACCTTCCTTTTATTTTTCCCTCTAACTCTGCTTGTCAGTTCTCTATTATCAGCCGAACACGTTTGTACCCTTCTCTTACATTCTTTTGCTGGGTAGTTTAAATTTTTAAGTCATTTACAATCCAAGTGAATATTTAACATTATATTCATTATGCACCTTGTGGTTGCCATTTTCCTATTACTGCAGTGACAATGAATGATGGCAAAAATGCAAATGCCTATTCCTTGTGAGTTTAATCTAGGCTCCTTGTGTCCTGATATATCTTATCATTTTGTCTGGTAATTAGACTTCTCTGATGATGTTGTAAAATACATATCAGTTGTGAAGGGAAAAGTCATTATTTATCATTATAAGGTGGGGAATATGCTCATTTTTCATTGCCCTTACCTGGGTAGCAAGGACAAAGTGATGCAATTTCAACTTGGAGGCCCATGCTTGATGTGATTCTGGGATGGAACAAATAGCCATGAAATTAATCTGAGAATGTTCAATCATTCCTTTGCCAGAGCTTGGCTGGCGTCACCTTAGTGTATGAAGTATAGCTTTCCAGGCTGTTAGCTTCCTCAGGAGCATACGCAACACAGGGGAAGATTTGTCCCTGTTACACATCATCTTATAAAGGGTGAGGGCTGGGACCAAAAGAAACGAATTAATGAAGGGGGAAATATCTTTTGAAGCCAAGGGACTATAAATAGCATAGTTCTGAAAGTATTATATTTGTGAAGCAAGGCTGTTACCTAATGTGAGTTGGAGAATAACTTGTGTAAGTATAGTCCTGGGAAAAGGAAAAAACAAGCCTTGTCTCAGAGATTTCATATCATAAGGAAAACGAAGAAAAAAAACCTAAATGTTGGAGGGAGGTCACTTGTTTCTAAGAGAAGGCAGTCTCACTTTTTGTTGATTCATTTAGCTAATACATAGTGAGTTCCAACTAAATGCCAGATAATCTCCTGAGAAGTAAACATTATTCTGAAATTTGCTAAGTTTGGAGAAAAACTTCAGTAATTCTAAAATAACTAAATCATTAATGACATTAAACATATCATATATAATTATATATATACAGTATATATAATATATCATAATATATATACAGTAAATATAATATGTCATAATATAATGATATATATAATATATCATAATGATATTATATATGGTATATATATGTATCATATATATAGTTAGTTATCATATATATATAGTTATCCCTCAATATCCATCAGGGATTGGTTCCAGGACCCTACCCCCACGGTATCCATGGATGCTTAAGTCTCTAATATAAAATAGTAAAATATTTGAATATAACCTAAACACATCCTCCTATATACTTTGAATCATCTCTATATTGCTTATAATACCTAATAAGATATAAATGCCATATAGATAGTTGTTGTATTGTTTAGGGAATAGTGACAGGAAAAAAACTCTGCATGTTCAGTACAGACAAAAACCATCATTTTTTTCCTGAATATTTCCTATCTGCAGTTAGTCGAATCCATGAATGTGAAACATCACATTCACAGTGAGCATGAGCAGTACATGTATAATATGTCATAACCCTTTTGATTATTTTGTTGAATTTTGTATTTTCCTCTAAGATTTAAAATATATTTCTTTCTTCCTAAGGGAAAGTGATTAATTCTATCACCCATGTAGGCAATGTACCCTTGCTGGAGAATATACCTTCATTGTTCATAAATGTATTATAAATATTATCCTCCATAATAACAGAAGAAGCCCTAAAAAGCAGACAGTTTTACATAAACTGCTAAGTGATTACTACCTTCATTAGAGATTTACAGGAATCTTCCCGAAAGGTATCCTTGCCTATCCAAGGTTATATGAGAAAGGAACTGTGATGATCTGCCTCTGAAGAAAACTATGGACGGCCATGGGGAAGAAAAGTCATTAATTACCTCTCTACTCAGGGCTGCAATGGTTTATCATGCTTGCTGATGTTAAGTGCTTCATCAGTATTCTATGTAATTTAAATGTATGACTACATATCAAGTGCCTGGAAGAATGTCTGGGACTTGATAAACAGGCAATGGTCTTGTCATTACTGGTAATTGTGGTCATCTTATAATCCCAATTTTATGTACCCCACTCTTTGATTAGTACCTCTTCTGTTTCCAGGTTACTCTATCTAATTCTCCACACTTAACCATCCTTCTACCCACTGGAACCTACAATCCTTTGATCTTACCACCTTTCCACTGTCTCACCTCTTCGTGGTGTCCTTTTCCTTTTCACCCAGCTTAATTGCTATTTTCCTTCATTATAGTCATCCCCCTTCATCTAGAGTTAATTCTCTTGCCTTTCTCTCTGTCATACACTTTTGAGAAACTCTAACACTGATTAAATCTAGCATAGAGTTGTTTGCTCCTCTATAGATGAACAGAGCAGACAAAAAATGAAAACAGCATGGCTGACTCTTTTCACTTGAAACTCATGATGTGAATGTGAGTGGACTGGACGTCTAATGCTGCTTGTCAATCACTGGACTTTCCCATCCAATCACTTTTCCACTTTCCGAGTTAGCTATCTTATACTATCTCTCTTACCTCAAATCTCCAAATTTTCTTTATCCATCTTCACTCTTAGCTGTTCACTTTCAGAAAATGACTTTTACAACTTTTCATGATCAGATTTAACAACCTGCCACAAATTCTCATATACTTTGCCTGCCACCTGTTGTTAGAAATGAACTATTCCACTTTTATCTAAGAATGGCCTCACAGTTGGTATGCAAGACTTCATTACTTTTTCCTACTCAAGGATGTGGCCCCAGCAATTCCCACCTCCTTTTTCTGCACTGACAATTATTTCCTTTATATTGGGTCATTCCCAACAACATAAAAATAGGCTGTTTTTGTCCCATTTTGCTTAAAACTCTCAACTTTACCTTTTCCTTCTTTTGCAGCACAACTTCCAGCAAGAGTTTTACAGAATTCTAAATAAAAAATGTCTTTTTACATATTTCTAAAATATTTCTAAATGTATATTTAGCTAATTGTATATTTAGCAAGAGTATATCTTTTTGTCTTTTCCTCCCAGTCTAATCTTGAACCCACTTAGTCAGGCTTTTTCCCCCAGTCACTTTACCAAAACCATGCTTGTCATTGTTCTTGCCTCATCTTGTTGACAATTCTCAGTCTTCATTTTATGTGAACTGTCAGCTGCATTTGACAGACTTGATCATTCTTCCTTCAAATACTCGCTTCACTTCTTGCTCACAAACAGGACATTTTCCTGGTTTTTCTACTATGTCCCTGGATGCTTCTTTTCAATTTCCTATGCCAGTTCCTTTTCTTTTTCCTCTCTGACTTAAAATTGTCCATCTGGGCTCAGTACTTGATTTTTCTTGTTTACCTAGATCAGCAATTGGCAAACTAAGGCCCATGGTCCCAAGTCCAATTTGTGCCTGTTTTGATAAATAAAAGTTTTATTGAATCACAGCCATGCCCATTTATTTATGTGTTTTTTTATGGTCCCTTTTGAGCTACATAGATGGATTTCATTAGTTGCAACAGAGGCTCTACAGTCCTTAAAGCCTAAAATAGTTGCTATCTGGCCCTTAACAGAAAAAGCTTGCTGACATTTCCTCCACACTTATGTCGTCTGTGAAGGCATTCAGATGCATGATTTAAATATATACTGTATACTGATATTTCTCCATTTGTATTCAGATGAGACATCTCCTCCAAACCTCAGACTTAGAAATCCAATTGCTGATGAGATGTTCACTTGGATGTCTAACAGTCATCTCAGACTTAACATGTTCAAAAGGGAATGTCTAATCTTCCTCTCCAAATTTGTTTCAACTACAGTTTTCTCCATCTCAGTTCAGAGTAATCCTATCTTTTCAGTTGCTTAGGTAAAAACCTTGGAGTTATCTTTATCTTTCTGTTGTATCTTATATCTAATTTGTCTGGAAATCCTGATTGCTCTAACTTGAAAATTATCGAGAATCTGACCATTTCTCCCCTTCTGGCACAAGTAATCAAAATTTCTTTCTTAGATTACTCAATTGCCTTCTAATTAGCTTTTATGATTCTATCCTTGCCTCTTCCATTTGTAATATGGAAGAAAGGATATTCTCTTAAAATACAAGCTAAGTGATGTCATTCCTTTGCTCATAATCCTCCACTAGCCCTCCTCTCATTCAGAATAAGAACCAAACTCTGCGATGGCTGCTCAGTCCTATAAGGTCTTGACCCCATGCTACCTCTTCAAGGTCATGCCCTATTTATCTCCATTTTGTCCACTCAACTTTAGCCACACTGGGCTGCTTTCTCTTCCTTTAATATTTCAGGCATACTGTCTCCAGAGATATTCCCTAGCTCTTCCTTATACGAGCAAGGCTCTTCCCTTAGGTATATTTGCATGGGTTGTTGGTCAAATATCACTTTTTAAATAAGACCTAACTAATCACTCTATTTAAAATTGTGCATCTCCCTCCTCTCCAGCATTCTTTATCATCCTTACCCTGATCTATTTTTCTTCATAGCTCTTATTATCTTCTAATACACTGTGAATATACAATTTAGCTAATCAGTTTTTTCTTTTTTCTTTTTTTTTTTTGGAGATGGAGTCTCGCTCTGCCACCCAGGCTGAAGTGCAGTGGCACGATCTCAGCTCACTAGAACTTCTGTTTCCCAGGTTCAGGTGATTCTTGTACCTCAGCCTCCCAAGAAGCTGGGATTACAGGAGCCCACCACCACATCTGGCTAATATATATAAATATATATACATTTATAATAGAGATAGGGTTTTGCCATATTGGCCAGGCTGGTCTTGAACTCATGACCTCAGGTGATCTGCCTGCCTCAGTCTCCCAAAGTGCTGGAATTACAGGTGCTAATCATTTTTCTGTCTCACCACTCACCCCTAGAACATGAGCTCCATGAAGAACGAATTTTTTTTGTCTTAAAAATATTCAATCTTTCATATAACACATAAAAGTTGATATAATCTTTTGGCACTTTTTCCACTTAATATATATTGCTAACATTTGTCCATAAAAATATTAAATCTTTAATACCCAGAATAGTGCTTGACACACAGTGGGTGCTCAGTAAATATTTATTATCTAGGCAAATGATCGAGTTAGCTATGTCATTATTTACATTGTTCAAAGAGATATAAAAATATTTTTGATACATTAATAAGGCAGAGTATTTGAATTTTTAAATGCATTTTCTGCAATTTGGAGTAGATATTTCCAGGTTGTTTCATTTGAGGAGTGAGGATTAATGTATTGGCATTTGAAGACTTCAAATGTTTCTATCACTAAGACTCTATTATTGGTACCATAGGTTGCATTTAGAGCTCTAAATAAAAGGTAAATCAGAGGAATAAGCATTGAATTAGTAACTAGATACTTGCACTGTTTCATTTTATTTTCCACAGGGCTATCAAAAATGATGTTTCTAAAACACAAAACTGCTCTGTCATGCTCCTTATTGCTATCGTCTGAATGTTTACATTCCCCCAAAATTCATATGTTTAAATCCTCACCCCCAAGGTGATGGTATTCGGAAGTGGGGCCATTGGGAAGTGAATAGGTAATGGGGATGGAGCTTTCATGAATAAGATTACTGTCCTTATAAGAGATGCCCCAAAGAAACCCTTCACCCCTGCTGCCATGTGAAGTTAGAGTAAGAAGATGGCTGTGTGTGAGGAGGCAGCCCTCACTAGACACTGAATCTGCTGGCACCTTAATCTTGGACTTTCCATCCTCAAGAACTATGAGAAATAAATTTCTCTTGTTTATAAGTCTATGGTACTCATCTGTGGTATTTTGTTATAGCACCCCAAACAGACTAAGATGCAGATACAAAGCCTTTTGGTTATCCCTTATTGCTTGGAATATAAGACAACATTCCTCAGGGTCTGATGTTTACTTGTATTTGTTTTATCACTTCACTTTTATTTCAACTGTCTCAACCCACTTGCAGTTCCTGGGACACTCCACAGTCTTTCATATATGCTTATTATCTTTTTCTGGAAGTTCCAGCTTGCTTCTATCAGAAGCATTTTAAATGGATTATCTAAAATGTTATGCTTTCTCCTAGAGGCAGTCTTTGATAGTTTCTGTAGTTAGTCCTAGATATTCATGACAGTTATATGATGGTATTGTTTTATGTATTTTCTTTTCATATCGACTGTTCATTGAGACCTTGACAAACCAATAATCCATTTCCCCATCTTTTTTATTATGAGCTATATTTATACTTACAGAAGAGTTTCAGAAACATATACCCTTCGCCCAGCTTCGTCTTATATTAATATCTTACATGACCGTAGAACATTCACCAAGATTAATTTCTTAATTAATTAATCTTGGTGGCCAATTAATCTTGGTGGCTGGGCACGGTGGCTCATGCCTGTAATCCCAGCATTCTGGGAGGCCGAGGCGGGTGGATCACGAGGTCAGATCGAGACCATTCTGGCTAACACGGTGAAACCCCGTCTCTACCAAAAACTACAAAAAATTAGCTGGGCGTGGTGGCGGGCACCTGTAGTCCCAGCTACTCGGGAGGCTGAGGCAGGAGAATGACGTGAACCCGGGAGGTGGAGCTTGCAGTGAGCCGAGATCGCACCACTGCACTCCAGCCTGGGCGACAGAGTGAGACTCTGTCTCAAAACAACAACAACAACAACAACAAAAAGAAAAAAGAAATTAATCTTGGTAAAATATTATTAACTAAACTACATAGTTTATTTGGATTTCATCAATTGTTTCACTGAGGACTTTTTTTCTCTTTCAGGGTGTCTTTCAGTGTTTAGTTTTCATGTTTTCTTATTCGTTCAATTGTGTCAGTTGCTCAACCTTTCCTTGTTTTTCATGACCTTGGTTTTTGTGAAGGGTCCTGGTCTGTTATTTTGCAGAATATTTTCCAATTAGAGTTTGTCTGATATTTTCTCATGATTAGCTTGAGGTATATATTAGTGGAAAGGATCTCACAGTGTGATTTGCCCTTCTCAGAGCATCATAACAGAAGTTTCACAATGTTGGTATGTATTAGCCATGATGTTGACCTTGGTTAAGTGCTGTCTGCCAGGATTCTCCAAACTTCACTTTCACTTTGTGATTTCTAAATATTGTGGAATAGATATTTTGAAACTATGCAGATATCATGTTTCTCCTTAAACTTTGCCCGCTAATTTAGTCATAATTGGAATTTTCATAAAAACAGAATATCGTGGTGTTCTCATGGTGATTTTATACTTTCTTTATTCTTTCTACATTTCTTAACTGGAAATCATCTGTAAGGAAGCGATTTCCTTGATCTTTTAGGTGTCTATGTATCTATCTGTCTATCCCAGTATGGATGTAGGGATTCTTCTAATTTATTGGGTTAGAATTCAATACTCTCATTATGTATTTTATTGTTCAAATTGTTCCAAATGAGGACATTGAGAGTTTTTTCAGTGTTGGCTCCTATATATTAACATATGACACATAGCTACATTTATTTCTGTGTCTGTCTTTCTGTATATATATATTTTTAAAAGACAGTGAATCTATATTGATGTTTCTGATTTCAATCATGCCCCACAGGGTTCACTGTAGACTCTGTCTTTCCGTATTTTTCAATGTCTTTGATTCAATGATGAGAAACATAGCTCTCATGGTACATATTTACTTATTTGTTCAACCCTAGTATAAAAATAAAGTAGTTTGAGAATTGGTAACACGTACCCCTAATAAAAAACAAATGTATAACCATAGGATAGTGTTTCAGCATAGCTAGTCTTTTTGCCTTTAGCTTTACAGTACCCTGTCAGAAAACTGTTTTCCAAAATTTCTTAGTTCAGCACCTTTTCCCCTATTCTCTTCTGTGCAGTTATACAATTAATATGTAATACAGTTAGATTTATTTGTCATGGTCTACATTTCAAATTTCCCTTGATAGCCTTCTTTCAAATACAGGCATACCTCATTTTATTGTACTTTGCTTTATTGTGCTTTGCATTACATTTTGTATAAATAGATGGTTTATGGCAACCCTGCATTGAGCAAGTCTATCAGTGCCATTTTTGCAATAGTATATATGCACTTTGTTTCTCTATGTCAGTCACATTTTGGTAATTCTTAAAATATTTTAAATTTTTGTATTATTATTATATCTGTTTTGATGAACTGTGATCAGCAATCTTTGATATTATCATTGTAATTGTTTGGTGGCAACATAAACTGCACCCGTATAAGACAGCAAACTTATTCCATAAGGGCTGTGTGTTCTATTGGCTCTAACGACCAGCCATTCCTCATCTCTTTCCCTGTCTTTGGGTCTCCCTATTCCCTATTTGGGCCTTCCTATTCCCAAAGACACAACAATATCAAAATTAGGCCAATTAATAACCTACAATGGCTTCCAAGTGTTCAAGTGAAAGGAGGAATTATGTCTCTCATTTAAAATAAAAAACTGGGAATGATTAAACTTAGTGAGAAGGTCATGTCAAAAGCCAATAAAGGCTGAAAGCTAGGCCACTTGCACTAAAAAATTAGCCAAGTTGTGAATGCAAAGTAAAAGTTTTTTTTAAAAAATTAGAAGTGCTACTCCAGTAAACACATGAATGAGAAGAAAGCAAAACAGCCTTGTTGCTGATATGAAGAAAGTTTGAGTGATCTGGATAGAAGATCAAACTAGCCACAACATACCTGTAAGCCAAATCCAAATCTAGAGAAAGCCCTAATTCTCTTCAGTCCTATGAAGGCTGAGAGAAGTTAAGGAAGCCACAGAAGAAAAGTTTGAAGACAACAGTGTTTGGTTTTTGAGGTTTAAGGAAAGAAGACATCTCAATAACACAAGTTTAAGGAGGAAGGGGCAGCAATTTTTCCAGAAAATTCAGCTGAGGTAATTGATGAAGGTGGTTATACTAAACAACAGATTTTTAATGTAGATGAAATGCCTTCTATTAGAGGAAACACCATCTAGGACCTTCATAGCTAGGAGGAGAAGCCAACTCCTGGGTTCAAAGCTTCAAAGGGCAGGCTGACTCTCTTGTTAGGGGTTAATGCAGCAGTGGATTTAATGCTCATTTATGTAGGATTCTGAAAATCCTATGGCCCTTAAGAGTTTTTTGTTTCCAAAATATTACTGCTCATTGACAATGCACCTCATCACCCAAGATCTCTGATGGAGAGGTATAAGAAGATTAATGTTTTCATGCCTGCTAACACAACAGCCATTCTGCAGCCCACAGATCAAGGAGTAGCTTTGACTTTCAAGTCTTATTATTTAATAAATACATTTTTTACATTTGTAGCTGCCTTAGATAGTGATTTATCTGATGGATCTGGGCAAGATAAATTGAAAACCCTTGGAACGGATTCACCATTCTCAATTAAGAACATTCATGATTCATGGCAGAAGGTGAAACTATCAACATTAATAGAAGTTTGGAAAAACTTGATTCCAACACTCATGGGTGACTCTAAGGGGTTCAAAACCCCAGTTCAGGAAGTCACTGCTGATGTGATAAAAATAGCAAGAGAAATAGAATTAAAAGTGGAGCCCAAAGATGTGTCTGAATTGTTCCATCTCATGCTAAAACTTGAATAAATGAGGAGTTTCTTTCTGTGGTTGAGCAAAAAAAGTGGTTTCTTGAATTGGAGTCTGCTTCTCTTGAAGATCCTATAAATACTGTTGAAATGATAGCAAAGAATTTAGAATGTGACATAAACTTAGCTGACAAAGCAGTGGCAGGGTTTGAGAGGATTGATCTTAATTTTTAAAAAAGTTCTACCGTGGGTAAAATATTATCAAACAGCATCAAATGCTACAGTCAAATCTTTTGTGAAGGGAAGAGTCAATCAATGTAGCAAACTCTATTGTCTTATTTTGTGAAATTGCCACAGCCACTGCAAACTTTAGCAACTACCATCCTAATCAGTCAGCAGCTATCAATACCGAGGCAAAGCACTCCACCAGCAAAAAGATCATGACTCGTTGAAGGCTTGGAAGACTGTTAGCATGTATTAGCAATAAAATATTTTCAAATTAAGGTGTGTATGTTGTTTTTAAAGACATACTGCTATTGCACATTTAATAGATTATAGTATAACATAAACATAGCTTTTATATGCACTGGGAAACTAAAATGTTTGTTTGACTCACTTTATTGCAATATTTGCTTTATTGAGGTGGTCTGAAAACTGAACCTTCAATATTTCCATGGTGTAACTCATATTATACTACTTGATCTGTCCTTTTCATTTTTTATGCTTTGTTATACATTTTACTTTTGTATATACTACAAACACAAAATGCATTGCAACAATTTTTGGTTTGCACTTTCACATTTTTTAGATAAATTAAATGTAAAAAAATTTACCTGCCTTTTTTTTCTAGTGTTCTATTATTCATTTCTTTGTGTAGATCCTATCTTCAGTCTGACATCATAATCATTCTGCCCGGAGAACTTTTTTTTTTTTTTTATCATTTCTTAATTTTTTTTTTTTTTTTTATTGAGACGGAGTTTCACTTTTGTTGCCCAGGCTGGAGTGCAATGGTATGATCTTGGCTCACTGCAACCTCTGCCTCCCAGGTTCAAGCAATTCTCCTGCCTCAGCATCCTGAGTAGCTGGGATTACAGGCGTGCGCTACCACGCCTGGCTAATTTTGTATTTTTAGTAGAGACGGGATTTCATCATGTTGGTCAGGCTGGTCTCGAACTCCTGACCTCAGGTGATCCACTTTCCTCAGGCTCCCAAAGTGCTGGGATTACAAGCATTAGCCACTACACCCAGCCTTAACCTTTCTTGAAAAGTAGTCTTCTTAGGATGAGTTCTTACAGTTTTTTATGTTTTTTTGTTTGAGAAAGTTTTTATTTTTCTTTTATTTCTCAAAACATTTATTTGCTGGATATAGAATTATCAATTCACAGTTGTTTTCCTTTCAGAGATTTATAGATGTCACTTTTTTGGTGTTCTGGTTTGCCTGTTTTCTGATGAGAAGTTTACTGTAATACTTATTCTTTGTCCTCTCTGTATATTGTGTCTTCTTTCTGTAGCAGAGAAAGAATATCTCTTGGTCTCAGTTTTCAGCAGTTTGAGTATGACACACCTATTTTGTTTTGTTTGGATTTAATTCTGCTTGGTAGTCTCTGTTCTTCTTGAATTCATGGTTTGCTGTCTGTAATTAATTTTATTTTTTTTCCTCAAATTTGATTCTCTCCCACATTCTATTTCTCAGGTCTCTCTTCTTCTTCTAAGACTTTAATTGCTTACTTATTAAACTATTCTATATCGTTCCACATCTCTCAACTGTTTAGTTCTGTTTCCTACTCTCACTTTCTTTTCTTTTTGTATTTTGGTATGGGTTACTTCGGTTGATCCATCTGTACATTCTTTGCTTCTTTCTTCAGCTGTGTTGAGTCAACTGATAAGCTCATCGAAGGTAGCTTTCATCTTTGTTCCTGTTTTTTTTCTTTTGTTTCTTTCAATTATTTCCACTCGATTCTCTCTTGTAGTCTTCATCTCTCTGCTGAAATTTCCCACCTGATCTTTATGAGGCCAACTTTTTATTAGAATCTTTAACATATTAATCTTAGATCCTTTAACATCTGTGTCATAGCCAAATCTGATATTGACGATTGTTTTGTACTTCAGGAGTGTTTTTCTTGCCTTTTTCTTTCTATGCCTTGTATTTTTTCGTTAAAAGCCAAATATCTCATGTTGGAGAGTAGAGATTGAGATAAATAATTTTTATGCCTCAACATGGGCACACCCTTTGTACTTGTAGGTCTTCATTGTGGGGTTTTGAGTTAATATAATCAGGAATCTGTCTGGGTTTGAGGTTTAATGTTTTTATGTTTACCCAGAGGGCACTGTAGACTTTAAAATACTCTAGCGACAGCTTTGTGTTTAAAGTCACGTTGATTTACCACAGCAATGTCTGTAAGACCACAAGCTGTAAGGTGTACTTTTATGTTGTGCCTCAGAAAGTGTTTCTTTGCCTTCTGTTTTTCTCTCCTGCACCTCTCCCAGCAGTAATCTGCTTTTGCTATTTTGGATGTGCTGGGCTGTGGGGGAAATATGGGGAGCATTCTCTATTCAAATTAAGTTTTATTCTTACTCAGGCACTGTGTCCTTGATTCTTGGATCCCTGAACTAAGATCTGGGGATTGGGCTGATATAACAGGAACTCCACAGAGCCTTCAGCTCTATTGTCCTTTAGGAGGAGATTTTTATTCCCTTCTGTTCTTTCCTCCACCTGCAATCAGTTTTACTACTATCCTGAGGGGGGCAGTGTTTGCTGCCCAACTTCTCACAGACTAAGACTTTCGTTCCATAAAGGAATTGGGAAAGGGGTCTGTGTAGGGTTTCTTACCTCTTTAGCATGGCTATTCTTCCTCTCTCCCAGGTCTGAAACACAATAGAGACTTTTAAAGGGACACTTCTGTGTATTCTACGACTGACCCATGAAATTCACTGGGAAGGAGCCTGCAAGAGAGCTCAGACTCTTTTCACTTCTGAAGTGTTTACAGGCTTTAAACTCTCTCCACCAGTCTGCACATACCTTTCACCTACAAATTAACTATTTTTGGTAAACTATTTCTATTGACGTCTGATTGCATTTATCCAGGTATTTGACTGCTCACGTTTCTTCTCTTTCCGCAGGTGCCTGTATCTTCACAGATTTTGGGTCAGTTGGTTGTTCTGAAATACTATCTCTCTTGGATTGGAAAAACGTCATACAATTGAAGTTAATTCAATCCTATTTTCTTATTATAATAATGAGAGTAACACTCTCTCCAGTTCTCTATATCACAGAGCAAAAGCCAGAATTCTCTTTGTAATTTATTTTTATATTACTAGTTCTTTGCAAAGTAATTCACACATTTCAAGCATTCAATAATTAAAACATTTAATGCATGCAATATTCATGTATGCATGCCCAAGTCCTCCACAATTGACTAGCACAGCAGGAACACCATACAGCAGCAGAATGGGTTAGCATATCATGACACTATATATCACTTCCATGTTAAGACTGTTACTAAATTCTAGTCTTTCTGTTCTACAGTTCTTTTCTACCATCTACAGAAGGATCTTGGATTAAACTTAAAAATATAATGTGCTTCTAAGTTTCATGATAAATGAACAGTGTTTTTTTTTTTTTTTACATACAAAGCAAAATAAACCTATTTTTAGAGATGGAGTCTTGCTATTTTGCCCAGGCTAGTCTCAAACTCCTGGTTTCAAGAGATTCTCCCACCGTGGCCTCACAAAGTGCTGGAGTTATAGACATGTGCCACCATGCCTGGCCAAAGCATATTTTTTCATGTATATGCATGGTATGCAATATTTTGAGGAATTAACTAAGAATTTTTTACCCTTGTAGATTTTTTTTTTTTTTTTTTTTAGTTTCGCTGACCTTTACCCAACCCAAACAGCTGAAGATCCTGCTTTCACTACTTTGGAAAGGGAGAACAACAAGGTGAAGATAAAAAATAATCAAACGCTTGTCTAAAACATAGACGCTTGGGAAAAACAGCACATTCAGAAGAGCACATTATCAATGAGAGCCAATATTTCACCCATTTGAAGACTAGAAAAGTTTTCTTGAGTTGGGTGGCACAATAGAGTTTAGAAGCTGGCTGGTGCAACTCTGTGAAGTGATCTTGTGCACTATTATCCTCAACTCTGGTCTAAAATCTGGCAGTTGGGCTGATGTACAGGAACCCCAGAGAGCCTTCATCTCTGGGTACAGCACAAGAAGCAAACAAAATTTTGTAATGTCCATTATCTAGTATAGTGGTCCCCAATGTTTTTGGTACCAGGGACCAGTTTTATGGAAGACATTTTTTCCATGGATCTGGGAGGGGGGATGGTTTCAGGATGATTCAAGCATATTACACTTATTGTGCACTTTATTTCTACTATTATTACATTGTAATATATAATGAAATAATTATACGACTCACCACAGTTTCTTTATCCACTCATTGATTGATGGGCATTTGGGTTGGTTCCATGTTTTTGCAATTGCGAATTGTACTGCTGTAAATATACGTGTGCAAGTATCTTTTTTCTTATAATGACTTCTTTTCCTCTGGCTAGATATCCAGTAGTGGGATTGCTGGATGAAATGGTAGTTCTACTTTTAGTTATTTAAGGAATCTTCACAGGAGACCTTTAGATAGCCCCTCTGAGTTTCTTATTGCCCCAGAAGAGTGAAGTAGCATTTGAGAAGGATAGGGCCGCCACGGAGAGAGAGTAAACAAGACCTGGAGAAGCCTTGTGACCTGGAAATGGAAGAAAGCTGCAGTGATCCATGTGTACTGCTGATTGAACACTAGGCAGTAACATCTAATGGAATGCCAGTATGTAGTTTTGATGACATTCAAGGATTAGACATGCTGTTTCACTGCTCCCTTCTGCTCTCACTAAAGAAATTCCTTGGAATGTAGACATAGCTTGGAGATAAAATGAAAGAACCCAAATTATCTGAAAATGTGGGTACCCATATATGGTGGAATGGGGGCTCAAAGTATAATTGAAGGCCACTTATGTAAAGTAGTGCTGTATTACTGACACATTTAATTTTTGCACTGATATATGTAGTTACTGTGCATGTAAAAAATATTGTTTCTTAGAATATCTGCAACAGATATCAATATGCTTATAAATGTAATAACATTAAAAATATTCTCCTGGGTATATAAATATATAAATGGATTTTAACTCGAAAAGAAAAATGGTCCCTCTTATGAAGTATATTTTAGTTGACAATCTAGCTCTAGTGCATCCCAATTATTCCACAACACTTTACCCTGATATCCTTGGATCAACCTGAATCACAATATAAGCCAAAACAAGGTGTGCAGATGAGCTGCTTATGCAACATATAACAGTGCATGATGGTTCTGCCTCTGTGGTCACACATTCCTGGCTTGAAATTCAGCACTGTCACTTGTCTACTGTGAGAACTTGGGCAAGTCACTTATCTCTAAGTTTCACTTTGTCATCTCTCAACATGGGTAGTACCAACCATAGGGTTCATGCAAGGACCAACTATGATAATACATGTAAAGCCCCTGACTTACAAATACATGTTCAATAAATAATGATCACAAAAACATGATTATGTTACAAAAGGGACCCAAATGATCAAATATACTGAATCATGGGCCAACCAGAATGTTGCCATTATGTAGTCCAGGTTGGAAAAATGTATTTTTCTGTTTTTGTGCCTGTTTTCATTTTCTCCTTTTCCCAATATATTATGCTTTTCTTTCTCTCCTCCCTCCCTCCTTTACTTCTTTAATTTTTTATTTCTCCCTTCTTGCCTTTTTATTATAAAAATTATACCCAAAAGTAGATAGAATGGTATAGTGACCTCATGTATCCATGACTTAGCTTCCATATTTACCAGCCCTTTGTCAATTTCTAGACCCTTTCCTATCTTCAAGTTTACATTCCTCCATTTATACCATGTCTTTTTCTTTACCTTCACTGGTATATAAATATTTCTCTATAAATTTATTCACCAGAACTCACTTGTTGGCACTTGACTGAAACAGATCTAGGTCCTTAATGTTTGAACCATACTTGAGCTATAAAGAACTAACATGTTCACTGTTTTTAGTGTAAAAAAAACCCTCAGTTCTCTGACTCTTCAACTCTTGGCAATCTGTGCCAGTTTTTCTTAGCTTCATCAAGCTTATGAAATGCCAAAAGGTGAACATCTGTGACCTAGAGTTTATGTTAGTGATAAAATAGTGATTTTACTGTATATTTGTGTTTTCCTGAGATGAGATTATTTACAATTTAAATGTAGTTTTTAATTGATATTTTACTTCCATTTCCATGTAACATAAAATTTTAAAACTCTTGCAAATTAGTATTTCATGTACAATTAGAACTATGACAGTTGTACCTGTAATTTATGCCAAACTATGCATAAATTATGCAACAACTATGATAAGAAGTCAGAAGATAAAAATTTTAAAAGACACTTATAAGCATTTATTTCAAGTAATACATTATTTTTTTAATTTGCAAACACTGTATTACAAGAACATGTTTTAATTTTTAACTGATTTATTGAATATTAAAATGAAGGAATCTTAATCTTGTCATTTATACATTTATTAATGTAATATGCATCTGTTGACTAGAACTAGGTGTCAGGTACGGCACTAGGCATAAGAAAATAAAAGTGAATAAGATATTCTCTGTGGTCAAGGACCTCACAGTTCAGGGAGTAAATAACTGAAGAACGAAGAGGAGTTTGTCAGGTGAAGATAGAGGAAGGATATTCGGGGGAGTAGGCAGAGTATGTGCAAAGGCTTGAAGAAATAAAAAGATGGTCATTTTTGGAAATTATAAATAAATACTTGAAGACAGGTACCATGTCTAGTTGCTCACTGTTGTATCTTTAGCACATAACATCATAGCAATTCAATTAATATTTACTGAATTGAGTAATTAATAATACACTAGTAGATAAAGTTGAAAACCACTTATGAATGGTTCTACAGGCCATAATACTGAGTTGAGATTTCATCTTATAGTCCAGCAGTCACTGAAATATATTCTATGGAATATCAACTCTTTAAAAAGCTAAGAGGGATTAAGTAGTCAAAAAGAAACATTGGTTATACACATTTAAGTAATTTCTTTTTTACTTCAAGGCTCCACAGATGTTAGTATGCTGATGTTGATTGTGATACCTAAGACAGATTTTTACTAAACTCTGTTTCCCAAACTTCTGTGACTGAGAAACTCCTAACACCTGTTCATACCCTGCCCATAGGGCCTGGTATTATGTGCACTGGCAAGGCTTCTAGGCAACAGGGATCCATAGCTGTTGTTTAGAAAAAATATTTTGGTGCAGAGATTAATTGCAAGAGGGTAGGTTTGTAGTTGGGGAGAGCCCCTGCAGATTATTGTCATTGCATAGGTAAGAAATGCTGAAGCCTGAATGTTGACATTACCAGCGAGAAGCTAGGGGATGTAACTAAATTGATGGGGAGTTACTAGAGAAAGCACCTTGGATGATTTTCAGGTTTCTATCTTGGTATGGAGATGCCAGTAAAAAAAAGGATATAGATTTTAGAATAAGAAGGAGTCCCGGTGGAAAGTGTAACACAATCAGTTTTAGGCAATTATGTTTAAAGTTCAAGTGGACAGCCTGAATTAACGATGCAGATTATAGTTACATATATTGGTCTGGATATCAGAAGAGACTAGAGATCACAGTGAAAAATCTTGGAATGGCTTTTGTGGAGCTACTCGGAATGTGTTTCCTCTTTGCTCAATAGTCATTTACATATTTGAAGTCAGCTATCATCTTGGTCAGTTTAGGTTGCTGTAACAAAGTACTATAGATTGAGTGTCTCAGAAACTTCAGACATTTGTTTTTCACAGTTCTTCAGGCTGGAACTGTAAGATCACAATGTCAGTGTGGTTGAGTTCCAGTGAGGCTCCTCTTCTGTACAGCAGACTGCTATCTTCTCCTTGTGTCCTCACATGGCATTTCTCTGGGGTCCCTTTTATATAGGCTCTAATCCCTTTCATGAGGCTTCCACCCTCATGTCCTAAGTACCTCCCAAAGGCCTCACCTCCTAATGCCATCAAATTAGGGATTAGGATTTCAACATATGAATTTTGGGGACACATACATTTAGTCCGCTTTAGCTATCATAGCACCCTTAAACCTTTTCTTCTTTAGGCTGCATAAGCCCAGTTGCTGCAAATATTCCCAGCATGAAATCATATCTGCACCATTTCCTCATGCAGTTCCTTCCTCTGAATGCGCTATAAATAATCAATGTTTCTCCTAGAATGTGGTGCCTTACTGAACCTTGTATCATACAATTTCACATATTATTACTTCACTGAATATCTTTTTCCTCTATTGTCATTATCTCCTTATTCAAACTTGCTCTAAGCCATTAACTTCTACCCAATCCTCAAGCATCCATACCCCTTGAATTATAACCCCTCTCCAGTAAACTACCACCACATGAGATTTCTCCATTGTCTGCCTTTGGACAGATAATATTTTTGCTTAGCCTTGCTTGACTTTAGAGTTGAGCCTTCCTGTTGGAACTACTTTTTGTTTTCTACCTGTCCTTGTGCATGTGATGTTTCAAACTGTTTCTTGCTCCCAGCAGCATCATTCAAGTCTGACCTTGTGTTATATTATGCTGGGTCTGCAGCCAACAGTTTATTCTGTGTATCTTTACACCTGACCTTAGTTATAGTGTGTCCATCCATGATCCTCTACTTGCACCAACCAGCATGTCACATTCATCCAGGAGAAGAGGTTAGATATGGTTGTATGCCAATTTCTTAAGAGCAGGAGCCAAATGTCATTCTTTGTATTCCCAGGGTCTAGCACCATGCCTGACACCTATTGACAATGATATTTAGTAGGTGGATGGATGGGTGGGTTGGTGATTATAAGAAAGTGCTCTGCTTCTGACCATTTAATATATGACATTTTATCCTTCTACATAAAGTTTTGCTTGAAAAAGAGTTCTTATGTTAAACCTGTTAAAACACTAGTGCTCTTAGGAAATGCTTTGATTAACAAAGTTAATTTTCTTTCATAAAACTTGGGAAGGAGAGATAACTGCAGGGAATATTCAGGCATTTTCTTTTTTTATATTTATTTATCTAAATTTTTGGAGGAGCTACTACATGTGAGCACCAGCTTTGGCATTTTACATTTAATTTTCACATTACCTTGTGAGTTATATATTATTCTTCTCAATATACAGATAAGAAAAATTAAAGCTCAGAGAGCTTAAGTGGCCAAAGCTGATGAATGGTGAAGGTGAAATCATGTTCCAGTTCTTTTAACTCTTATTCATTGTTTCTTCTTTACATTCTGGAGCATGTTCTCAGTGTCTTTAATGAGTGCTATGTCACATACACTAATTATTTCCTTTTATTTGTATGTTTTCTTAACTTGAAAGGCGGCAAATGAGAGGCTATAAAATATCTGAGAATTTGTGTTACAGGAAAATTGATTATTTCTTAGGAATTGGATGCTCTAATTACTTTCCTGAAGAAGAACTTCTAAGATAAATCATGTTATTGGTTCCACTAATGATGTAATAAGAAGGTACAATGCTAGAGTAACTCAAAACATTATATTTTTATCATTGTCATTTTATAATGTAGAGAAGAGTTAATGTTGATACATACAGCTATAAAAGGATGCGTTTTATTGAAGTATTTCAGATTGAAGATAGGGAAAATGAAGAGTTGTTGACTGATAGAACCTAAATAAATATATTAAAGCACAACTGTGAAATATTACCATATAAAATGAACTCTTGCCTGGTTAAATGTGATGTTTTGTTTCAGGAGTGGACTCTAAAGTGATTGATAATAGTTTAATGCTTAAAATTTTTGTCAAGGTCTAGGAAATAAAGGAATAGTTAACATTCCACAATTCATCAACTATAATGAACTTAATACATTCCTACCATTTATTATCTATTATCTATTAGCTGCTCCATCTCATATTTCTACTTATTCTTCCCAACAACCTTAGGAAGGAACTGTACATTTTATTGTAGAGAAAAATTGAGGCTCAGAGAGACTAACTTTCCAATGATTCCCCATTTGAAGTTGAGATTTAAACCAAGATCTGACCTAATGTACACATTTAATCTCCATTCAATACTGCTTCTTGGGCATTAATCATACTTTGAATATGGGGCACTACTTTTTCCAAATTCTCTTATTTGATAACTCTAATGTTCATAATAATGAAAAAAATTAATTTTTCAGCTAAGAGAATAAAATAATTATCAACTTTCTCCAGTTAGCTATTTAAACTTTCTACTTCATTACTGTAGATCTCTATGCAATACTTATTGGTATTATATGTTGGGGTTTAAATAAGATGTTTATTTTGTGTAGAAAAGCAAAAGTGGCTAAGGAGGTTTTGTTCTGGATTGCTCTGTGGATTTTGTTGATAAAACTTTTGGACTAACGGGGCTTCAAGATGGTTGACTAGAAACATCTGGGTCTTCCCTCCTCCACAAAGAGGACTCAAACTAGTGAGTAGATAATCGCACTTCAATTAGAGCATCTAAGAAAGAACAATGGAATTCAACAGAGAAGTGATAGGAAACACCTGAAGAAGAGAAGAAAGGCGAAGTCAGGCAGCCGGTTTGGCTGCAATTGGAGACTCCCCAGTGCAAGAAAAGGATGGGTGAGAGATTCTAGTGGGCCACATTTTCACTATGGACCCCTGCAACTCTAGCCACGAGAGAGCCTCTAGACCCTCGTGGGCCCTGAGAATAGCATAGGGAACTTCATGAAGATCGCACAATGGCATTGCTCCAGAGAGGTAGCTCACACTGGGTCCTGCACACTTCCTGAGACCTAACTAGCTTGCAGCATAGCACCATTTTGAGATCCCAGCCCAGTGTGCACTAGACCGCATCCTGCCCTAGGGCCCAACAGCCCCTGTGTCTCCATATCTCTGAAGTCCTACTGACATCTCCTCACATCCACCCAGAGTGTAGCAGAGGTACGACACTGCAGGGTCCCCAGCACCCTAGCTCATGCAGTGCCCTATGCCTGAGGAATGGGTGGTGCAGTACACTGGGGAGGCTGCCCCTGGGACAAAAGGAACCAAAGCGTACAACTCTGGAGCCTGAGAGCAGTCTGCCTCAGAACATTCTCCAGGCTACCCCATATGGTTACATATATATATTTCAATGCATGTCCTCAACAGTGTTTTCATTGTTGAGTAGTTTAAGTTCTTTGTACACTCTGGATAGTAGTCTATTGTCAGATGAATAATCTGCAAATATTTTCTTCCCTTCAACCGATGGTCTCTTCACTTTGTTGTTTTCTTTGCTGTGCAGAACTTTTTAGTTTAATATAGTCCCATTTGTCTATTTCTTGTTGTTGTTGCCTGTGCTTTTCAGGTCTTAACCATAAAGTCTTTGCCTAGACCAGTGATCTGGAGTGTCTCCACTATTCCTTTCTCTTTTGGATTTTTTTTTTTTTTTTTTGAGATGAAATCTTGCTCTGTCAGCCAGGCAGTGGCACGATCTTGGCTCACTGCAACCTCCGCCTCCCAAGTTCAAGCGATTCTCCTGCCTCAGCCTCCCGAGTAGCTAGGATTACAGGCATGTGCCACCACACCCAGCTAATTTTTGTATTTTTAGTAGAGACGGGGTTTCGCCATGTTGGCCAGGCTGGTCTCGAACTCTTGACCTTGTGATTTGCCCTCAGCCTCCCAAAGTGCTGGGATTACAGGCGTGAGCCACCCCTCCAGGCCCTCTCTTTTTGATCTTAAGTCTTCAGTCCATCTTAAACTGATTTTTGTATATGGTGAAAGATAGGCTGCTAGTTTCACTCTTCTGCATGTGGATATCCACTTTTCCCATCGCCGTTTATTGAAGAGGGTGTCCTTTCGCCAATGTATGTTTTTGAGGCCTTTGTAAAAAGTCTGTTGGCTGTAAAAACATGGGTTTATTTCTGGGCTTTCTATTCTGTCCCTTTGGTTTATGTGTCAGTGTTTATGCCAATATTTTGGCATAAAAATATTATTATTATTTTGATTACTATAGCTATGTAATATAATTTGAAGTCAGGTAGTGTGATGCCTCCAGGTTTATTCTTTTGGCTTAAGATTGCTTTGGATATTTGTTTTCTGGTCCTATAAAAAATTTTATGATTTTTTCTTTTCTGGTTCTATACAAATCTTATGATTTTTTTTTCTTTTCTGGTTCTATAAAAACTTTATGATTTTTTTTCTTTTCCTATACAAAATGTCATTGTTATTTTGATAGGGATTGCATTGAATCTGTATATTGCTTTCAGTAGTATGATTAACTTAGCAATATAAGTTTGTCTAGTCCATGAGCATGGGATATCTTTCCATTTGTTTGTGTCTTTTAAAATTTCTTTTATCAGTGTTTTGTAGTTTTCCTTGTAGAGGTCTTTCACCTCTTTGGCTAGATTTATTTCTAGGTATTTTTTTTGGTAGCTATTGTAAATGAGATTGCTTTCTTGATTTGTTTCTCAGCTAGTTCGTTACTGACATATGAAAACACTACTTGTTACTGTATGCTGATTTTGCAACCTGCAAGTTTACTAACCTTGATTACCAGATCTAAAAGGTTTTTGGTGTAATCGTTAGGTTTTTTTAAGTATAAGATAATGTCATCTGTAAAGAGAGACAATTTGACTTTTCCAATTTGGAGGCACTTTATTTTTTTCTTCTTGCCCAGTTGCTCTGGGTAGGACTTCTAGTCCTATGTTGAATAGGAGTGGTGAAGGTGGGCATCCTTGTGGTCCAGTTCTTAGAGAAAAGGCTTTCAGCTTTTCCTCATTCAATAGATTAGCCATGGGTTTGTCACATATGGCCTTTATTATATTGAGGTATGTTCCATTAGGCTGAGTTTGTTGAGTATTTTTAGCATGAAGAAATGTTGAATTTTATGCTTTTTTGTGGTCATATAGTTTTTGTTCTTTATTCTGTTGATGTGATGTATCATGTTTATTGATTTGTATGTGTTAAACCATATTTGCATTCTCGGGCTAAATCTCGCTTGATCGTGGTGTATTATCTTTTTGGTGTGCTGTTGGATTTAGTTTGCTATTATAGTATTTTATTGAAGATTTTTGGATCTATGTTCGTCATGGATATTGGTCCATAGTTTTTTTTTTTTTTTTTTTTTTTAATAGATCGCTTTTTTTTTGTTGTTGTTGTATCTCTGGTTTTAGTATCAGGATGTTGCTGGCTTCACAGAATGAGTTGGGAAGAATTTCCTCTTCTTCAAATTTTTGGAATAGTTTGAGGAGAACTGATATTCATTCTTTTTTTGTAAGTTTGGTTAGAATTTGGCAGTGAAACCATCTGGTCCTGGACTTTTCTTTGTGGAGAGACTTTTTTTTGTTACTGGTTCAGTCTTGTTACTCACATTAGTCTATTCAGGTTTTCTTTTTTTTTTTTTATTTCTTCCTGGTTCAATCTTGGTAGGTTGTATGTTTTCAAGAATTTATCCATATCCTCTAGGGTTTCCAGCTTGTTAGCATATAGTTGTTCACACTAGTCTCTGATGATCTTTTGCATTTCTTGCTATCAGTTGTAATTTCTGCTTTTTCATTTCAGGTTTTATTTATTTGGGCCTTCTCTCTTTTTTTCTTGGTTAGTCTTGATAGCAGTTTATTAATTTTATACTTTAAAAGAATGTCTTGTTTTGTTGATTCTTTGTATCTATTTAAGTCTCTGTTTTGTTTACTTCTCTGACATTTATTATTTTTTCCTCCTATTAAGTTTAGGTTTGGTTTGTTCTTGCTTTTCTATTTCCTGTAGGTACATCATTGGATTGTTTTATTTAAAATCTTTCTGCTTTTTTGATGTAGACATTTATTGTTATAAACTCTCCACTTAGCACTGCTTTTGCTGTCTTCCTGGGTTTTAGTATGTTGTGTTTCCGTTTTCATTTGTTTCAAGATATTTTTTGACTGCCTTATTAATTTCTTTATTTACCCAGTAGTTGTTCAGAAGCACGTTGTTTATTTTTCATGCATTTGTACAGTTTCCAAACTTCCCCTTGTTATTGATTTCTAGTTTTATTCTGTTATGTTCTGAGGAGATACTTGGTATGATTTTGAATTTTTAAAATTTCTTGATACTTGTTTTTTGGCCTAGCATGTGATCTATTCTGGAGAATATTTCATGTGCTGATGAGAAGAATGTATTCTGCAGATGTTAGATAAAATGTTCTATAAAATGGTTCTGTTAGAATGCTCCTAATGTTAGTTTTATTTTATCTAAAGTACAGCTTCAATCCATTGTTTCTTTGTTTATTTTTTGTCTAGATAATCTATCTGTTGCTGAGAGTGGAGTGTTGAAGTGTCTATTATTGTATTAGAGTCTGTCTCTCCCTTTAGATATAATGATATTTGCTTCACATATCTGGGTGCTCCAGTGCTGGGTGCCTATACATTAAAATTGTTATATTTTCTTTCTGAATTGATCCCTTTATCATTATGTAAGATCTTTTTGTGTCTCTTTTTACTATTTTTGACTTAAAGTCTATTTTATCTGATATAAGTATAGCTATTCTTGCTTGTTTTTGGTTTTTGTTTGCATGAAACACTTTTTTTCTCTCTCTTTACTTTTAGTTTATTATGTCTTTGCAGACTAAGTGAGTTTCTTATAGGCAAAATTTGGTTGGGTTATGTTTTTTAAAAACTATTCAGCCAGTCTATATCTTTAAGTAAAATTTAATTCATTTACATTCAAGGTTACCACTGATATGTGAGGATTTATTCCTATCATTTTGTTTATTGTTTGTTGGTTGTTCTGCAGATCCTTTGTTCCTTTATCTCTCTTTCTCTTTGTTTGCCTTTGTGGTTTGGTGGTACCATTTGACTCTGTTTTCTTATTTATTTGTGTTATTTGCTCCACCAGTGAGTTTTATACTTTCATGTGTTTTCATCATTGTAGATATTGACCTTTTGCTTCTAGGTATAGGACCCTTTAGAGCATGTCTTGTAGAGCTGGTCTAGTGGTGATGAATTTCCTGCTTTTGCTTGTCTGGGAAAGTCTTTACTTCTACAATTATGAAAGTTAAGTTTGCTTGGTATAGTATTCTTGGATGACATTTTTTTTTTTCAGCACTTTGAATATATTATCCCATTCTCTCCTGGCTTATAAGGTTTCTGCTGAGAAATCTGTAACTGTTCTGATGGGTTTCCCTTATATGTGATTACATGCTTTTCTCTTGTTATTTCTAGATATTTTTCTAAGTTTTATTAGAGATCAAGAGTATTCCAGATACCCTCTACAAAAATGGAAGCAGTCAATATATAGGGGAGTGGGACAATGATTTTACATTTTCTCTCCGTTTTATCCAATAAACAGAATATTTACAAGTAAAATCTTAGGCAGAAGTCCAATATATAAACCAATATATAAGCAATTTATTTAACCATGGGATGAGGGCTGGGACATCGGCCTGCTCATTGTCCCATGCTATGGTTCTTCTTGAGAACACTGAGGTCCTAGTGCACACAGCATGAAAACCAGTGTGCACCACTGTTTTTTTTTTTTTCACCACTGGTTTTTCAAAGGTATTTTCGTGGCTCTATCCAATTCCTTCAGGTAGAAAAATACTCAATGATCTAAGACATAGCCCTGGCTTTTAATAAATACCATGTATTTGCCAGGTGCATATGATCTCTTTCTAAGAACCCTGTTGGAGTGGCTGAAGCTGGTAGTTGGTTTTGAATTTGGAGACTGATATTCTGTTGCCTCATTTCCATTGTTATTGGTGGCTGTGGGTAACAAGAAAGGGCTTTGTAAGCCTGAAAAGAGCTATGAAAACACAATGTATCATTACTTATTGTGATGGTGCTTTTCTCACTGATGGTGCAACAAGACAAAAACCTTTTTCCTCAAACCACATACACCTCCCCACAATAATCATACTTCAGACTCCAGATTTTTATTCACCTTTAATATTTTAGTCTGAGTAGCACCTCCTTCAGAGGCCTCTTTTGTCTTTTCTAAAAAATCTTTCCTCAGACTGGTAGCATTTTTTCATGCTATACTGCAGTTGTTTGCTTATGTTTCTCCTTCCATCAAGTTATGAACTCTGTAAGGGAAGGGACTGAATCATTCATCTCTTTATTTTCAATGCTTAACATAGAACTTATGTCATTATAGATATTATAAATTAATTTTACATTTGACAAAAAGACAATGTTTAAAAATAAATTAATACATGCCAACGGCAAAAAAGATAACTAGAAGAAGGAAGAAGGGACATATATTTTCTGATTTATCCAGTTTTGAGAACTTGTTCCTCATTTGATATTAACGCAAAGTCTTAAGGAAACCAGATAGTCTGTTCCTCCAGATCCTCAAGAGAACCAGCTGATGATTATGACCCATAAACAGACACAAAGGTTTCAAGTTCTAGTCAAGTCATGGGTTCTCAGTTCCCAGATGTTTAGATATGAAATTAACTATTAAAATCATTCGTATGCCCATGTCTTGCTAATTTGTAGCTGGCATTTTTATATATTTTTTGAGAGTGCTGTTACTGAGATTTGTCTTTTTTTGCTTGTTTCTTTCTTAGTATTGATAGTTCCATTCTACTGTGAGTTGTTATAGTTCAGCAGTTATCATTTTCCTTCATGTAGCTCCCCTCAGTGTGTAGCCCAGAGCAGGAGGACTTGCTGATTGACAAAGAAGGCATCACCTAAACCATATTTGTGAGAGTAAAGTTTATGACACCAGAAATAAGCATGCTGGTATTTAGATGTTAGACGTTTAAAATTATAATGAATTATAATTAAATTAATTAAAATAAAATAAACATATAATTAAAATTATAGCCTTCAAGTATGCATGTGTATACACACACACACACACACACATGCACACACACATAACACACACACAGTACCACACCTGGGCTTGTATGTCTGGGCAGTATATTTCCCCTTTTTTGCACATTTGAGAATAAAATTAATCAAGGAATTCAATAGCCATAATGATAGTAATAAAGCATTCTACAAGTAGAAGCAGCAGTCTCTAAGTGTTATAATCATGTAGTCATAGTCTATGGAAAATAGTTAATGCCTAAGTGACATCAATGATGAAGCTGCCTTCCTAGCTTAGGTGAGGCCTTAGTCCGTGTAAAAATGGAGAAAATGTCTGGATGCAGTGAAGTGTGGATACAGAACCAAACTAAAATTCAGTGAATCAGGCTGCTGACCTGGATCCTTCATCTTTAGGGATCTTTTGGTCTATAGAAGTCCAAGCAGAATGTCGAGGGCTTTACTGAAGCCTATATTGAGGATGTGAGCCAGTTAATACAAAATCAATCTAGAGGCTCCTTTACTTACAATAACACATTAACTTCTTCAACCATTACTAGGTCTTTGGAAAGAGTACATCCACATATGATTTTAAAAAGCTACATTCTAGATACATTAAAATGAAAAAAAGTGCTCATTAAAAAGTACTGGAACAGAACACAAGTAAATATTTATGGGATTTTAGGTTAAGAAAGGTTTCTCTAGGTGTAGCAACTCAAGGAGAAGCAATAAAAGAAAAGCACATTGGCAATGTATAAATTAAAACTTGTGAATGTTACAAAATAAAACAGAAAGCAAACAAAAGTATATTGAAAAAAGCAAATATAATAGAAAAATAGGTAAGAGGATAAGAGACTCTGTATAGCCAGAACTCCTTAAATGCATTCAATTTTATTAGAAAAAAAAAAGAACGTGTTAAGTCTTTAATTTTATGGAAACATGTAGGGTTCAGGAAGACAATGTGGCAAGATAGGAAGGTCAGAAAAAGACACAGAATATCTACTTTCTTGTGGCCACAAAACATTGTTTGTGGCATTGAGCCTAGAACAGAGTTGACATTTGCACAAATGAAGTGGGGGCATAGCTGGGACTGAGCAGTGTCTGGCTCTCCCTTAGTTGCCTCACGAATGGGGTTAGGGATGCTGTGCCTGAACTTGTTGAGGGCATTATTCACGTAGGTCTGTAAGAAGGGAGACCTCTAAGGAATGTACAATGCACAGCTCTATAAGACAATCCCGAGAGAGGCCCCTTTCTCATACAGTGCTATTAGAATTTAAAAAGGCTATGTTAATGAAGTGAATAATAAACAGAGGCAGCTGTTAGACTTTGGGGGAAAAATCTGGAAAGGGTTTTGGAAGAGCCTTGTGTATGCAGTACGAAGCATGTTATAATAAGAAAATTGTTTTGGATTGCAGAGAAAAAAGATTGGTTTGAAGCCGGGCATAGTGGCTCACACCTGTAATCTCAGCACTTTGGGAGGCTGAGGCGGGCGGGTCACCTGAGGTCAGGGGTTTGAGACTGGCCTGGCCAACATGCTGAAACACCGTCTCTACTTAAAAACAATACAAAAATTAGCCGGCCTGGTGGCACATGCCTGTAATCCCAGCTACTTGGGACACTGAGGCAGGATAATCACTTGAGCCTAGGAGGCGGAGGTTGCAGTGAGCTGAGATCACGCCACTGCACTCTAGCCTGGGCGACAGAGCGAGATTGTATCTCCAAAAAAAAAAAAAAAAAGATTGGTTTGAATTTGCGCTCAGCAACTTTTTGGTATTTCAGACCTATAGCAACTCCTTCCGATTCTTGTAATAAACGCAGATCCCCTAAATATTTGTGGTTCTGTGCAGACTCACCTGCTTTGCCTGACTCCACCCTTCATGTAATGAAATCCTGATGGGAAGAAAGTTCATACAAACTAGACTACATGACAAGAACAACTACCTCTATTTCTGTCTCTCTCTCTATCTCTAGCATGCCTAATCTGTATCTATATCAAAGAAAGTACTGAGAATTTCAGGAGTAAATTGGCTAAAGGTGTGCTTACATGAAGGGGTTTAGAGGCTAGCTGTACTTTTTTTTGGTGTCTCCATCTCTGTCTTCTTCTTTTTTGTGTGTGTGGGCCTCATTGGCTCTTAATGCAGCTGGGTTTCTCTATGCAGCTGAGAAAGATGATTACCAACAGTTGTGGTGCTCATCATTTTACCCCTCACGAATTCTGGGGAAGTAGAAGGCCATGCCCTGCCCCATACCATCTCCCAGAATCCAAAAGTTAAATCTCAGGGAAATGCTCTGATTGGTGTTCACTGGGGCAAAGGCCCACCCCCTGGAGTAATTACTGCCGTTAGGAGGATAGGATCTCACTGGGTTACATGCTCATTCCTGCAACTGGAGTGGGCAAAGGCAACTTGAGTGTCAGTCCCATCAAAACCATGTAGGAAAGGAGAGAGGCAGTTCCTCCTTAAAAAGGGAGATACAGGCAGGCAAATAGGGCAGATGGCTGCTACAAGGGTACAGAATCGTATGCATTACAACGTAATGTATAAATGAAAAAAATGTACAATCCAACAGGTAATCAAAAAAACACAAAATAAAGAAGACAATGTTTTTCACTCATCAGATTGAGAAATAATAGATAAATGATAACATTATGTGATGGAGGGAATTAGAAACTCTTTGACTTTCTGTTTTGTAAGATTTTTCTTGAGAAAATAATCATGTTATAAAATAATATTTAATATAATAAAAATTTTAATTGTTATGTGAAATCAGGACATACACTGTACAATAAGTCTAAGTCTTTATAACTTTTTTAGTAAAAAAAGTATGTGTATGTATATGTATATATAGTCGCTGAATATCTATATTCAGTGTTTGTAGAATTATGTCTCTTAGTGGTGGGGTTATACGTGGTTTTAATTTTCTCCATGCTTTTTATACATTCCCCAATTATCTTCAGTGCATGTTTATAATTGTGTTTATTTTTAATTTCAAGATGTTAAAAATATAGTACGCTACAGAGAATAATATAGCAAATACTCATGTACTGACAACTTAAATTTGCAATTACCATGTTGTTATATTTGTTTTAAGTCTTTTTTTAAGAAAAAGAAATAGTCCCTTTTATCCACCACCCTCAGCACTATTCTCTTTACTTCTCTGAAGCTAACCACTATGATTAGCTTGATGAATAAACTGCCCACCCATTTTCATACATTTCTATATGTTACTTGATTGTATTCATTTTATAATTAGAAAAATAGCATATCAATATGCTGTGGGAACAAAGTCCCCCAAATTTCAGTGGCTGACAGCAAAAAAGGTTTGTTTCCTGACACTGTTGCTGATTCCCATCATTGGTACAGATGTTTTCCTAACATTTACGTTTCTTTGATCCTTTCAAAGGGAATGCAGGAAGGTGGGTATGCAGTACATACGGTCAAATGGTGACTTTATATCATAAGCTGCCTATTTAAGCCTATTGCTTTTAAAAAATAGTGTAATTTATTACCACATTCTAGCTCGTTCAAATGGCACTGATACATCTATGAGAATGTGCCAAGAGCAGGTAATTGCCCTTCAATGGGCATTAACAACTGTCTACTAAATTCATTTAGATTAGCTTTTGTTCCCTTGCACCTCAGCTCTCGATGGTCTCAGGATGCCCTTGTTTGACTACCTATTTTGGATAAACTTATCTTGTTCAGCCTTGGAAATCAGCCTTATGCACCATATTCCATAAACAGCCTTCAGCCTCATTCCCTTTGGGTAGGAACACAGCAGATGCTCAGTTACTATTTGTTGAAAGCAATTGTTGGAAGGCCTGATGCTCTTTCTCCATGCCAACTGTGCAAGACTGGCTGGCCAGGGCTGGTTTCCATAAGGCCTCCCAGTCAAGGAGGAGGGGAAATGGTGAAACTCAATCCTGAGCTTGATTTTAGTCTTAAATAATATAATTGCATTTAAAATTATGTGTTCAATACCCTATAACTTAACAAGGATTTCTTTTTACATGGGAAAATAGCAGGCACCCAGAGAGTGCGGTTCTCTGTATGGTGGAATGGGTGAACGCTTGCTTCTCCTCTGGACACAGTAATGAATTCTAAAACCAGAAATAAAGTCCATGCTTATAAGTCACTCTGTTGTGTCTGAAGAGAGGAGTTCTGTATGACCAGATTTGGGTGGGACTTGTCCAAATTTGTCCTCTGAACACAGAACTGTCCATTTTTGGCTTCGGTCCTTCTACCCTCTCATTCCAGAGCAGGGTTGCTGAATCTGGTACCCTCAGCTCCTGTACCCTCACCACTGCCTACATCCCAAGAGAATGCAATGCTATGTCCTGCTGAATTTTGGCTAGGTTTCTTTATATCTCTCAGACCTGTATCATAAACTCAGTATTTCTGTTTGGCTGGCAACTTTGCTTCTCTCCTCTGTTCTCACCTCACTCCCTATTTTCTTGTTCTATTTATTGCCAACCAAGTCTACATTTCTACCACATTTCGGCAAGTGAAATAGCAGCTTTCCTGAATTCTCATCAAGGAAAAGGGAACATTACAATTGAACACTTTGTGACTCTAATTGAAAATTATAAAAAGGTTGTTTTCAAAATCCATTAAAGGATACTTTTCAAACGTTATTTCTGAAATTCAGCATTTCAACCTTAGATCTGCGAACTCTTCTCTTTAGTCTAATGTGGATGAATTTATGAGGAAAAGAATAAGCTAATGAAGCCTCTCTACTCTGTGAAGTGATTGTGATAATGCATTCAGTTTCCCATAATGCCAGAAAGGCACAGCAAATTACTGCAGCTGCTCCATCGATGGTGGTTTTGTTTTTCCTAATTAGTAGCTTCTTTTGTATTCTCACTAGAACACATGTGACTCTCATGAACTTTTTTGTTGTCATATTTCTCAAGTTGTGAGGTATTACAGGTACATGTGAAGTTATTTTTATTGTGGCACAAGTGCTGGATACATTAACACACATTTTAAAAGACTGGTAGGAACAAAATGGATGTGTTCTGCAGTATCCAAGTTTAGCTCTTGCATTGCCCAAATTAGAAGCTTTAATCAAAAACATAATAAGCTTTTGTGTATTTTGCACATGAACATATGCCTGAGCCAAAAGAAAGAAGTGCAAAAGAACCTTCGATTTTGTTATTGGGGGCTTGGTTGTTGAAGCAAACAGATCTAGGATGAAGCAATATATATTGTGTTTTATCTGTGAACCATATGGGTTGCATGTAGCCATGGTGGCCAGAGGAGCATCACAGGAAACACAGATCCATCATGTTGAGACTCTGGTTGGAGACAGTTTGTATGAGGTTCTTTCTGTCAGTAGCTTCCTACCTACTGTAGCTCTCACCAATTAGATGAACTTAGAGAAATTAACTTTTGGGATTATGTAACATAAAATTTCCTTGAAAAGCATGTTTGAAAATTAAAAGCACAGTTGTGCATGACAGATTTAATTATTCCAAATTCAGACTCTATTGTTTCAAACCCTGCTTCTGCCTTTGGGTGAATCAGTAGGTCCTACTTTGTAGATCTGAATGCTGAGATTTACCTAACATCAATTTCTGGATGCCAAGTGAGCCTCCTCTTACTGAGTAAGGGGATAGTTGTCATGAACCCAAAAGTCCAATTCCAAAGTCTCATCTGAGACAAGGCAAGTCCCTTCTGCCTATGAGACTGTAAAATCAAAAGCAAGTTAGTTACTTCCAAGATACAGTGGGAGTACAGGCATTGAACAAATGCTCCCATTCCAAATGGGAGAAATTGACCAAAATGAAGGGGCTACAGACCCCAAGCAAGTCTGAAATCCAGTGGGGCAGTCAAGTCTTAAAGCTCCAAAATTACATCCTTTGACTCCATATCTCACATCCAGGTCATGCTGATGCAAGAGGTGGCCTCTCATGTCCTTGGGCAGCTCCACTCTTGTGGCTTTGTAAGGTACAGTGCCCCCCCAACTCCCAGCTGCTTTCATGGGCTGGCGTTAAGTGTCTGTGGCTTTTCTGGGCACACAGTGCAAGCTGTCAGTGGATCTACCATTCTGAGGTCTGGAGGACGGATGGTGGCCATCTTCTCACAGCTCCACTAGGCAGTTCCCCAGTGGGAACTGCTCGGACCCCACATTTCCCTTCTGTACTGTTCTAGCAGAGGTTCTTCATGACGGTTCCACCCCTGCAGCAAACTTCTACCTGGACATCCAGGTGTTTCCATACATCCTCTGAAATCTAAGCAGAGGTTCCCAAACCTCAATTATTGACTTCTGTGCACCCACAGTTCCACTATCATGTGTAAGCTGCCAATGCTTGGGGGTTGCATCCTCTGAAGCAACAGCCTGAGCTCTATGTTGGCCTCTTTTAGCCACAGCTGGGACACAAAGCACCAAGTCCCAAGACTGCACAAAGCAGAAAGGCCCTGGGCTAAGCCCATTAAACCATTTGTTCCTCCTAGGCCTCCAGGCCTGTGATGGGAAGGACTGCTGTGAAGACCTCTGACATGTCCTGGAGACATTTTCCCCATTGTCTTGAGATTAACATTTGGCTTCTCATTACTTATGCAAATCTCTGCAGCTGGCTTAAATTTCTCCTCAGAAAAATTGGTTTTTCTTTTCTATTGCATCGTCAGGCAGCAAATCTTCCAAACTCTCATGCTCTGTTTCCGTTTTAAACATAAGTTCCAGTTCCAAACCATCTCTTTGTAAGTGCCTGGCCAATATGGTGAAACCCCATTTCTACTGAAAACACAAAAATTAGCCAATTGTGGTGGCACATGCCTGTGGCTCCAGCTACTCAGGAGGTTGAGGCAAGAGAATCGCTTTGACCAGGGAGGGGGAGGTTGCAGTGAGTCAAGAATGCACCACTCTGCACTCCAGCCTGGGCTATGAAGTGAGACTCTGTCTCAAAAAAAAAAAAATCTTGCATTTTCTCTGACATTAATAGGCATGCAAAACATGTTAATTTTTTTCTTCTCTGTTTTCCTTTTGCCCTTATTGTGAGAGGTAGGGAGATATGGAGAGAGATGGGGTGAAGTTGGCACAATGTGAAGATAAAAGTGAAAGACAGTAATGGTATTTCACTAAAATGTTTTCCTTAGCTTTTGAAAACTGTTAAGGTTTATCCCACTCTCCTCCTCAAGTCTTCCAAGCTAGACATGTCTATAGGAATGTTTGTGTTGTGTTACTCTGTATCTCCCTTTGGTTGAGTATAGGAGTAAATAGAAGTTGACGTTACTTTTAGATCAAGATATTTCTGAGAATCTGAATGTGATCATCATGCCTCTCTTTATCTTTCTTCTCCTACCTGTCCATCACTCTCATGCTTGCTTTCCAATTCTTTTCCTTTTTTTCTCTTAGCAATTTGGGATCAGAAATGATTCTAAGTAAACTTTAGATCTTGCTCTTTTGTGTTGGAATGAAGGGAATGCAGGATTTTATTTTGAATAATATTGAAGGAAGTGTGGGTTACCTAATATATCACTTTTATAATATTAAAGCTTTTGATATTATTTTTAATTATAGCAGTTACTGATAATAATTATTGAAAATAATTATTGAAATAATTATTGAAAATAATTATTTTCAATTATTTGACTAAAAACATTTTAATTTCACTTTTTTAAATCATACTTTAAGTTCTGGGGTACACGTGCAGAATGTTCAGGTTTGTTACATAGGTATACACGTGCCATGGTGGATTGCTGCACTCATCAAGCTGTCATCTACATTAGGTGTTTCTCTTAAACTCATAAAAATTTTCTAAATGACTCTTCTAGATCAGAAGGCATGAATAGTTTTCAGTCACACAGGACTGGTGATTCCACATATGAAGTTCTGAATAGGTTTTAAATTACTTATTTCTTATATGGTTATGAAATGGATTATGGTTTTCAGTTTTTCAAAACTGACATTGCAAGATGAAACAATTAGTGAGAATGTTTGCTTTTTGTGACTGAGGAAGGACAGTAATGGCTAATAATTAATTAGACTAATGAGACACCATTTAAGAGTACTTTTTTGAGGTACTCGAATTTCTTATCTCAACTTGAAAATGTAAAAAAAAAAGATGAGACATTTGGGATTTCTTTTTTTGCTGTTGGGCCAATATGTTTGTTATTTATTGCTGCAGTAATGAATTATCACAAACCTAGTGGCTTAAAACAACAGTTTTACAGTTCTGGAGTTCATAAGTCTAAAATGGGATCACAGGACTTCCAGAGTGTTCTTCCTGGAAGCTCTAGGGGAAAATGTGTTTCCTTGCCTATTTCAGCTTTTAGAAGCTCCCTGCATTCCTTGGCTCATGGCCCCTTCCTCTATCTTCAAACTCAGCAACATAACATCTGTACTCCTCTCAGATCTCTGCTTCTGTTGTCTCCTTCTTTCTTTTTCCTTCTGCCTCTCTCTTTCACTTATAAGAACACTTGTGATTACATTGAACTCACCTGGATAAGCCAGGATAACATCTCATAGCAAGATTCTTAACTTCATTACATTTGCCCAATCTTAATTTCTTTTACTGTGTAAGGTAACATATGCACAGATTCTGAGGATTAGGTCATGAACATCTTTGATGGGCCAATATTCAGCCTACCATGGCAGTATCAGAATTCTGAAATCTTTGAAGTAAAAGGGAAAAAATTAATGAAAGCTTCTAGGAATCAAGGTCATAAAAGGCAATCAAATATTGAAAAATGGGCACGATGAGAACTGACCGATGAATACCAGCAATAAATAATATGTCACAATGCAGCAGCAAATATTTCAGATATATAACAAGGACATCCATGCAAAGGTATTTTTCGCAGCTTAACAACAGCATACAAAAGGAATAGAAAACAAGTAATAGAGTGAGAGATGGATGGGGTCAAGAAATACTTGTCAGAAAGGTGATGATTTAGAAAGTATATGGCCATTACTGTGAGAATAACAGAGTGGCACTTTTTTATTCTCAGTTTTCACTGGTGATCAGATAGTTGACCTCATGAGACAAAAAGAAGTCAGGGATTACTGTAAAAATATGGTATTGGGATTCATCTTTTTAAGCAAAAATTTTGCCATCTTCTGAAGTGGAAAGGTAAAAAGTCAAATAGTCTGATGTAGGTATAAAAGCTTAATTTTTATTTTGGAAATCATAATTTATATCTATAAATCCTATTTAAATGTACACGAATTTGTTGTCTAAAAGATATGCACATATTAGAAAATCATAACTTTTTCATTGGTAATAATCAAAATGATGAATTCTTGTCTCTCTCTCCATCTGCCCCCATCCCCTCCCCACCTTCTCTCCATTCTGTTGGCTGGCTTTAGTTCAGGCCTTCTTTTCCTATTTCCTGGATTATTCTTTTAGTGTAACTTGTCTCTAGATTTTTATCTACCCCTCTCTGATCTACTTTATATTATGCTGTTGTATTAATTAATTATGTCATTCCATGCTTAAAAACCTTTAATTTATTGCTGGAGAATAAACTTTACACCTTTTGGCCTGACATTGAAGCCCTTCTAAATTTAGTTGCCCTGATATGAATGAGTGACGTGCTGCAGGAGAAAGAGGTGAGGAGTTGGGAGACCTTGGCTGCTGCCCAATTCTACTGCTTACCAAACTGTGAACTTGGGCAAAGCAATTAGCTTCCACGAGCCAGAGCTACTTCATCTTGAAGTTGTAGAGTATCATAATGCCTGGATTAAAAGGTTGTTAAGGGAATCATATTTTTAAAACAATGACTATGAAAGCACTTTAAGTGGACAACAAAATGTTATCCTTATTCTTGTTTGTGATTATTCTTCCCATCTTTTCCTCCATTGAATGTCCTTACGCACTGTCTACTCTGAAGTATTTAATATTCTTCACAAATAGCCCACACTTTACTTTTTTGTATTAGTTTTCTATTGCTGCTGCAACCACAGTACACACAAATTTGGGGGCTTAAAACTATGCAAGTTTATTATCTTATAATTCTAGAGGTCAGAAGCGGAAAACGGGCCTCAGTAGGCTAAAATCAAGGTGTTGGCAGAGCTGTGTTTCTTCTGGATGTGCTGTGGGGAATTTGTCTGTTTGCATTTTCTGGCATCTAGAGGCTGCCCACATTCCAGCAATTGCATCACTCTGACCTCTGCTTTTGTTCTCCTGTCTCCTTCTCTGACTCACACTCCTGTCTCCCTCCTAGAAGAACTATCCTGACCGTGACCATGTTTAGGGCCCACTTAGATAATCCAGGATAATTTCCCCATCTCAATTCCCTTAATTTAATCACTCTTCAAAGTCCCTTTTGCCCAGTAAGATAATGTAGGGGTTAAGATATAGACACTTCCAGGGACCAATTTTTTTGCCTACCACATTTTGCTGAGTTTCTCCTTCCACCTTGGGTTTGCTACTCCCAAAGCACAAGTGCACATCCTACTTAAGTGTCTTCTTTGCTACAAACCTTTTCAGTTACTCCCAACTGGAAAAAAATCTCTTTCCTTAGTAAACTCTCTGTGGTAGGAGAAACATTTTTAAGGTGGCCACGTGTTTCCTCTACCAATCTTCAACTGGATATTTTGAATGTTGCTTTCTTAGCTACTCTCCACTTCTCAGATCTGTGAAGACAGGTGCTGACGAGGGACCCCAGGGGAGGGCAGATGATGAATGAAAGACTTTATTGTTTTAGAGCTCAGAGAGAAATCCTCCCATTGCTTTTCACAGCACCATGAAGGAACAAAATAAAGGGCTTTAATTAGTTGGCTATAAGCAGCTTCTTGGACTTTCTTAAGTGATTTTGAGAAAAGAGACAAGCAAGAAAGAACAAGCCTAGCAGTTACCTGTTCTTCCACGAAGCTCTGCCTAAGGATTAGGATGCTTAGGTTCCATCATAAACTTGACTGACAAGAGCCAAAAGTGTTTTAGGGTAAGACTGAGTCAACTGGTTCACAGGTATTAAGCTTAGAAAAATAAGAATTTTTTTTCATTGGACTGGAAGAATGGAAGCATAGTCTGTTTCTCTTAGACATAAATAACAAATAATGCATAATACATATATATTTTGTTTTTAGGATCACACATTTTTTTTCTAGCTAAATCCCAATATCTTTTAGCATTAGAATTTAAGGCTAACATAATTGTGACTAAAATTATAGTTTAGCCATAGAAAGATGTTAGCAGGATTCTTTCTTCTTCTTTAAAGAAATAGTTATCTAAAAAGATTTTATTCATAGTTCACAGGTTGGGCTTTAAAAAAATGGAGATAATTTTTAATTTTTAAAAAAACTGGATATCTTTCTCTACCTGATGATAATTATATAGGTAATACAATACTTACTAAGTCTTTAAAAAGTGATTATGGACAAGGACAGGTGTTTCAATGCTTAAAAAGAAAAACAAAAACAAAACCTCATCTAATAGAATCAGGTTATAAAGTAATCAGAATTCATCAGCAATAAAGTTTAATTCCATGGCACTGTACTGTTATCTGTCAAACATTCTTACAATTAAGAGAAAATATCTCCCAGCGTTTCCATGGTGCTAGAGCATTCCAGTAGAACAGCCAACCCACACAGGGCTGAGGAGCTATAAAATATTAATTCAGTATAAGTATGCATCTGACAATCTTAACATTTATTATAGGTTATAGCAATTTTGCCCTAACAAGTGATTCAGTTAAAATGAACACTGCCAAATATTGGAGAACAGGGTACACCTTCCCACTTTCTCAAAAGACAGGTTTTTTTAAAAAAGCTTAAGACAATAAGGACCATTTGCACAATAGAGAGCTTTTCATAATCACCATTTATATATCATGAGGGATAAGGAAGAATGAGGGTTGAACAACACCCATTGGAAATGTAGCTGGGGCATGCATGTAGGGGGCAGGGTGGGAGATTTTAGGGGCACAGCTAAAACAAGTTTGTTTCCAATAGGCCTTACTTGTCAGGAATCAAAGAACTGATAAAGTGGAAGAAAGAGGCTCTTTCTCCTAACCAATGCCAGAGGAAGAAAATATCTGAAAGGGAAGAAGGGGGCTTGGATCCTGTTTGACCAATCCTAACAGTGGTTCATCAGGGTGCCAGAAATAACACCACTCAGACAGGAACCACACTACATGTTGAACAAACTAAAAATCGTCATTTCTATTCCCAGTTAGAGAGAGGGCTTCATATAAGGTTCCTGTAAACTAAGCTAGTCCTCCTATGTCAGGACAGGAGTATTCATAACTTGTGAATGGGAAGCTTCTTTCATTATGTATATTTCCCCCTAAAACATTCCCTTTATTTGTTAAAAATATTTATATTATAAGAGGCTGAGATTTACAGTTAATTATTTTTAGAACTAATGAAAAGTCTAACAAATAACGTTTATTACTCACTGTTGTCGCTCAGGCTGGAGTGCAGTGGCACAATCTTGGCTCATTGCAACCTCCACTTCCCAGGTTCAAGCGACCCTCCTGCTTCAGCCTCCTGAGTAGGTGGGATTACAGACATGAATCACCACAACCAGCTAATTTTTGTATTTTTAGTAGAAACAGGGTTTCGTCATGTTGGCCAGGCTGATGTGGAACTCCTGACCTCAGGTGATCTGCCTGCCTCGGCCTCCCAAAGTGCTGGGATTACAGGTGTGAGCCCTTGTAATGTCTTTATGGTAACTCATTTTGGCATTTGTCATTCCTTTAACTATCATAGCTGGCACTTTTATCTGAAATGCTATAGTGAAGAAAGTCTAGTATAGATTCCAGGGAGCTATAGTGTTAACACCAGTGCCTCATTTGCAAAGTATTTGGGAGATGGAAAGGGATTTCTTGTTCAAAAATATTTAAGCCAATATTTTCTCACCCTCTCATCAACGATTGATTTTTTTACTCTTTCTAGTTTTTCAGACACTCATGGCCAGGGTCTGTAGGCATTGTCTTTTAACGAATGAAGAAAATATGAGTACCGAAATATACATGTCTTAAATAAGAAAATAAATACTTCAAACAACAAAATAAAGCCTTCTTTTTACTGTTAAAATGACTACTCCCAACAGAAAAGTGAGCACAGGAATGAATATGTAATTCACAATAATTTAATTATGAAAATAATGTTATAATTGTTAATAAGACCTAACATTTACCAGTTTTTTATTACTATTTTATTTTATTTTTATGAGAACCCCAAGGAGGAGGCTCTACTATTATTATTCTTGTTTTGCAGAGAATTTCTCTAACTTATCTAATATGACACAACTCTATGCAGAGAAACAAAATGCAAATAAACACCATGTGATTTTAGAGTCCAGGCTTTCACCACTGAAAAGTTCAAACTGATGAATAGAAGGAAGGAAGGAAGAAAGGGAAGAAAAAGAGAAAAAGAAGAGAATAACGGTCTACTCCTTTTACCTACCAAGTTGGCAGCTTTTGATTTTATTGTGGTTTTTAAAGATTAATTCTCAATGTTAGTGAAGGCTGGAGGAAACTTGAACTCATAGTATTTGTGGGACTATTAATGATACCATCTAACTCCCTTGCTAAAGCAGTTGACTCAGGAATGAGCACATGACCCAAATTCATCCAACGTGAAGTTTAGGCCTTTTGTTTGAGAATTGGGGAAAATGTGTTTTATTTTCTGAGCCTCAAGGAGTAAAAGTGTACTTCTAAGAGTAATTTGCAGCCCATTTTGTATCTGTGAGGCTCATAGCACTGTAGGCAGAGCAGGAGACCAAAACAAGCAGGGTTCTTGGTGGCATTGTTGTGCTACTGGAGAAAACCAATTCTGTGACCTGAATTATTTCTAGACTGTATTTATGAGATACATTAAAAAGGCTTTATTTAAGCCATTCCATTGATTGAGGCTTTTTTTTTTTCAGTAAATGGTAACTGAAGACACTGTGATTGATATGCACATCAAAAGCCTTAGCATTTTGAATTTGATTTGACTAAGCAATTTCAGCACAAGGATTTTATAATAATGATATAATCAGGAGCAATGTGCAATGATAAAGCCATAAGAATGTAGCACTTTATTCTATAGGATAAAACAGTATGAAGGAAAACATAATCAAATTACTTTGTTTTAAATAGCAAAACATTGGGAAACAAACCTAATTTTCCAACAATAGAGGATTGATTGATAAATTATGGTACATTAATAAAATAAAATAGTATGGTGACACAATATTATAATGCCACAGGCAGTTTCCTAACACAGAAATATTTACAATATATTTAATTGAAAAAGGCAGGTTAAAAACATATACATGACTGGGTGCGGTGGCTCACACTTGTAATCCCAGCACCCCATCTCTACAAAAATAGAAAAAAAAAGCTGGGCATGGTTGTACATGCCTGTAGTCCCAGCTACTCAGGAGGCTGAGGTGGGAGAATTGCTTGAACGCAGTAGGCAGAAGCTGCAATGAGCCGAGATCACTCCACTGCATTCTGGTCTGGGTGACAGAGTGAGACTCTGTCTCAAAAATAAAATAAAATAAAATAAAATAAAATAAAATAAAATAAAATAAAATAAACATATATTTGCTTTTGTGTTTATATGTGAAAGCATATAGATAATATTGAGCTGTTTAAATAATGTATACTATCAAAATATTAAATATATTAAACTAATGTAATTAAATAGATTAAATCAATATTTTATTAAACACATATATATGCACATACACGTATTAAAGAAGTATAAAGCTCTTAAAATATTATTTCTGAAGGTGGGATATTATAGGTAATTTTAATTTTTTATTTATATTTTTTTCAATATTTAAGGATATACATTTTTGTCAAATAATAATGAAGGTTACCGCCGAATAACTATAATTTATCTCAACTTGAAGTGCACAACGTTTGAGACCTTAACAAGAGTTTATAATATTTCTATGCGTTCCTCTAATGCATGAATACCTAACACCACTTTCAGGGAAGCCCCCAGTGCCTGTTGCTTGCAGAAGCAGAAAAGTTCTCACTGCCTGGAGATTCAAGGTTGCAGTCAGAGCTGATCCTCTAACCTCTCCCCTGGCTCCTCTGCTCATCTTTAAGCACGTTGTGATTTTTTTCCCTTTTCCTTGAGACTTAGCTCTACAATTTTATTTATTGTTCCTCCCCCTGCAATTTTGTCACCTCAGTCACACCTTTACGGTATTATTTCTTTTTATTTCACTCCCATCTTCACCATTTTTCGACTTCATAAGCTTTCTGTAGGCACCTTTATGTCTTTTCCCCTGCTTTACCTAATTATTCTTTTGTTAATTCCTTCATTTATTGTTTTACTTTTTCATTCACTTATTTTTTCACTTATTAAGCTATGTCCCCTGCAAAAATTCATCCATCTTTCCATCCATCCATCCATCCATCCATCCATCCATCCATCCATCCATCCATCCAGGCATTCATCCCTTCCTCCCTTAATAGTCTCCAGCATGGGTCAGATGCTGATAGGCACAACACAACCCATAGAGAGCAAATATACAACATGTCTAATTCTTTCTTACACTATTGACTAGAGGCATCTAAATGAATGGTTGGTATTAAGGAGCAAAAAAAGAGGGCCCAGTAATTAAGTGAGGGCAATAGAAGGGAGAACCAAAGATACATTTCTGGTTAGGCTTTTACAGCAAATTTGCCTTTCTCCTTTCCTCTTCAGACAAAATAAGCTTTTAAGCTTTCATCTTAACCAAGCATATATCTCATTAAGTCCTGCCTTGCCTCTCTCAGACACTCAATTCTCTGTTTTCGTTCTCACTTAATGTTAAAGAAAGAGGGAGGTCGAGGCAGGTGGATTACCCGAGATCGGGAGTTCAAGACCAGCCTGACCTACATGGGGAAAGCTTGTCTCTATTAAAAATACAAAATTAGCCAGGCATGGTGACACATTCCTGTAATCCCAGCTACTCAGGAGGCTGAGGCAGGAGAATCTCTTGAACCCAGGTTGGGGAGGTTGCAGTGAGCTGAGATCACGCCATTGCACTCCAGCCTGGGCAACAACGGCAAAACTCCGTCTCAAACAAAAACAAAAACAAAAACAAAAACAAAACAAAACAAAACCCAAAAAACAAAAAAACAGAAAAAAACAAAAACCAAAGAAGCTTTTTTAGACTTTGTACATAGCCTGTGTATCCACTAGGATGTATATTCCATGAAGGCAGGGATTTTCATTCATTTAATTAACTTCCATATGCTGAACAAATATTAATTGGATGTTGAATAAAAGAATGCTTTGAATTTTGCACTCAGTCCTCCCTTAAATCAGAAATCAAAAGAACAAACTTTTGCCTTCATCCTTTTTGCTTTTCTCTCCCCTTTTCTTCACTTGAGGTAATTTTGTCTTATGTTGCTGGAGAACAGGGTTTATTCTGCAGCAATGGAGTTAGGATCAACTGTGTGCAGACGGCATATATGTGTGGAATCATCTCACATCATCCAGTGCTATACACATTTCAACCCTGCAGTTTTCCCTTAAGTGATGCATATTCTCCTCCTATGGTCTGTTGCCTATATTATGATATATCAGTAAATGCAACCAATAAATGTAGCTATCCTTTAGCTGACTTTAAAAAAATTATTCAATTCAATTAAGATGGTTAGTCCTGTAGCTCAGTGCACATACATTTTCACATAGGCCACACCAACTTTTGCTCTTTGGATCACTTACATGAAAGTTGAAGCTACATACAGTGCAGATGGAGTTATACACAGTGCAATTTTGAGCCATTAGCCATCACTTGCACAGATCTATAAATGAGTATTTGTGTTTATTCTCAAAGGGGGATTCCTCAGGGAGTTGGAAAGCCTTCTTGCGAGGTTTGATAGTTCTTTGTTTACCCAAAGCCCTTTTTCAGAGGGTAGGAAAGTCACTATGGTTGAAGTCAGCACATTGGTTCTCACGTGGGCTAAGGCTGCTTAACTAAAGGTTGGTGTGAATGCTGGTGCTCCTCCAGGGATAAAAAGCAGATTATTTAAAGATTTCATTCCTAGAGCTCTGCTTTTATGTGGGCTTCCTCTCAACTTGCAATTGTGGACTCTTCGAATTCTTCATGAATACATTCTTAAAGTCATAGTCCCCATCACATTTTTAAAAAATGTGGATTTGTTTTATTATTTTTTAAAAACTAAATATGAATGTTTCTCATTACTGGAATAATTCATATGCATGAATAAAATTTATGAAATGTAGAAGGTCATAAAAAGGAAATTAAACTATCCACAATTCCACTATATGCAGATAACTCTTTATTAAAATTTTGATATGTTTAAGTCTTTTTCAATGACTACACATATGTGTATATTCTTTTTATAAAAATAGAATAATTTCTTGTGACCTGAAGTCAGTCATTTAATATATCTTAAACAGTTTTACTTGTTAGTAATATTTTTTGGAATTTTATATTTTAAGGTTGCATAATATAGCATTGTATTCATGTGTTGTAATTTATTTATTTTTCCTTTGTCAGGCACTGATTTTCAGCCACCCTAAATCATCCTGAAAGATAAATCTTTGTAATGAACCGTAATAATTCCTTTGGGATAAATTTCAAGATCTGGTATTTCTGGGACAAACGTGGTACACATATTTTCAAGGCTTTTATATGTATAGTCCAATTTTTCCATACACAGAAATAATTCATTGCTTCACCCACTGTGCCTAACTGTGCATGCTTCTCTGTACAGCCTCAGTGCAGCTATTTTTTCCTTCCTCCTTACATAATTTGAAGAGGATTTACCCTACCTTGGTGCCAAGGATGGCCCTGAGTACTTTAAGCCAACCTCCCTTTCTACAGTGATTGATCCAGGCACGAGTATTTAACACAGACCTAATCCAATTGGAAGGTGCCATTTCCCTGGATGTGATGATTAGTTAAGAATTGGTCACATGACCTAAATTTATCCAATCAGAATGGATGTCAGGAGTGTACTGGTTGAGAAAAGTGGCACACTTCTTCCCAATGACGTGCTAAGAAGCTGACTCCTGGAATTACTGGAGCTGGCCATTTTGCCTCCATAATGGTAGCCACCTTAAGCACAATGCAGATAGATAGAACAGATCTCAAGTATTAGAACTGGAGCTGGATCACTGATTAAATCATGCCTAAAAACAAATCTACTTCTGAATTTGACAAATTTTGAGAGTCCACTCATTTTTCATGAAGTTAATTTGAAGTGATTTTGTTATTCGCGACCAAAAACATTTTAACTAGTAAATTTGTGTCTTCTTTTAAATAAAATATTTTTGCTAAAATACAGGCAAAAAGATAGTTTATTGCTGTTTTAGTTTATATTTATTTATGTGTAAGAATGATTTTTAAAATATATTTAATATTGACCATTTGGTATTCCTTCTTTATGAATGACTTTGTATTCTATAAATATTTTTTAAAATTATATCTTCACGTGTTGCTTCTTACAGAATTAAAAGGAAGAAACTTGTAGTCAGACTCATTGGAACATTTTCCGTGTTGGTTACTTGTTTTATAATTTTGAATATTATTTTAACATATTCAGAAAAATATAGATTTTATATATTAAATGTATCACTTTGTCTTTCATAGACTCTATCTTGACTCATATTCTTTGCCATTCTAAAGCCAGAGAGATAGTAATTTATATTTTCCTCTAGTTCTGTATATTTGTGCTTATCTTCACGTTTAAATTTTTCATTAATTTGAAAATTATTTTGGTGCATTGTGTATGATAAGGCTAAACTGTACTTTCTTCCAAATAGTGACAGCAACTAAATATTTGAGGCAAATAATCTTCAAATATAAAAATACCAGTACACCATTTGTTGTTTTGTTTTTCTTAATTTCCTCCCTGGAAAGTAGGAAAAGTTTTCCTTATTGGTTTTTTATTCAAGGTGTGATTTTAAAAAATCCATTTTTTATAAGCAACTTTTATTCTGAATTGTATTTTTGGCCCATGTGGGGGTGTTGGTGCTATGACTAAGATTAGATGTTTCTATGGCTGCAGATTACTTTTTTTTTTAAGAGACAGGAACTTGCCTTTATCTTTCAAGTCCTATACAAAAGGCCTAGCAACTGGTTCACTGTGTCCTATAAATACATTTTACTGACACTTTGTAGTGGATATTCAAACAGGAAGTGGAGAACCAGGAACTAGAAAAAAATAGTCGTCCTAAATCTGCTGTTCAGAGATTAACACCAACAAAAAGGACCATGACAGTTCTTTACTTTTTCTTTGAATTGCAATCTTTTATGTTCCAACCACATAGAGATGGGAAAAGAAGTTTTAGGCCTTATGGGGAATTTTCTGATGAAAAGTTTTTAGAGGACTTTGGTACAGAGCTGCTTAATGAAGTGAAAAAAGATTTAGGCCGTTTCTGAAGGCCTGCAGTGAAAACAAAAGCGTCACAGTGATTTAAAAGTTGGGGGCATTTTAGCAGATTTATATAAGGGCTGATACTGTCCCATTATTGCAGGATGATCTCATTCTAAGTGGACTGAATGGGGTACTGATTCTGTTTTGGATCGGTAGGCCTGTGTGGTGAGTGGACTCTACTGTGTGTTCTTCAGAGTGTAAGGGTCTTTATGGAAATGATGGTTTAATTTAAATGTGATAGAATAAATAGAAAATAGAAATTGTCAAAAGAGGCCATGGAATGCTGGAAAGCTTTTATACATATTTATAATGTCCTCTAATGCCTATGTGGCATGAAGAAATAGAACTAGGAGGAGTGAGTGTACTCTGCTATGTGCTCTTCAGAGTGTAGGGGTCTTTATGGAAATGATGATTTAATTTAAATGTGACAGAATAAGTAGAAATTGTCAAAAGAGGCTGTGGAATGCTGGAAAGACTTCATACATATTTATAATGTCGTCTAATGCGTACATGGCATGAAGAAATAAAAATAGGAGAAGTGAGTAGTGGTTACTCCAATTGATTTTTGCTTCTAAATATCATTTCCATCTATCTTACCTATTCACATATATTACTACTGCTTTACTGTGGACCAGGGATTGGCAAACCTTTTCTGAAAAGGGCCAAATACTAAATATTTTAGGTTTTACAGGCAAAACGACCAAATACTAAATATTTTAGGTTTTACAGGCCATATGGTCTCTGTTGCAACTCAACTCTGCTGTTATAGTATGATTACAACCTAGACAATATGTTAACAAACTGTTGTGGCTGTGTTCTAATAATACTTTATTTGCAAAAACAGGTGGTGGGCCTGGTTAGGCCTGTGAGCTATGAAATGCTGTCTCCTGACTGAGACCTGTGACATATCTCACCAGGAGTTTTGTAATGGCTTCTCTTATTTATGATGAGTTCACTTCATTTCAGTTCCATAATCATTTATTGTTTTAGGCATTCACAATGCAAGCATCCTGTCCTTGAAGAAGTCCAGAGAAAACATAGATGTGAAAGCCCACAACATGAAAGGAACGAGGTAGGGTTGCTCTCTTTATTGCTGGCAGGTTGGCTTTCTAAAAGAGATTATCATTTGTCTCTTCTGCTAAAACTCATTTAGTTGTACCTTGTGCCATCATCACAACTTTTTAGTGAGGCAAGTTTGTCTTTCATTATTTGATGATCTTGCCTATAACCATCTTCCTAAACTCATCTTTTCCATTTTTCTACTTCCACACCTTAAGTTCTAACCACCACAAAACATAGTACTAGCTACAGAACAACATACACCATCATGCTCTTTTACACTCTGTGCTTTTGCATATGCTGTCTTGGAATGACCTCCCTTTGTTATTCCCACATCCAACAAAAGGAAGAATTTTCTAACCAAGTTTCTGAGGATTGTAATGGACTACTTCGTTGGGTGGAGGAGAGGGAGTTATGGGGAGTTCTTTCTCACTTGAAGGTATTCAAGCAGGGATTGGCCAAATACTTGGCAGATTTATCAATGTTGTTAGAGCCTTGCCCTTTAGCAGGCCCTGAAACCAACCCCGGCTGCTACAGGTGTTGGCTGCTAATGACACACACCTGTAGTTTTTTTCTGAGGATTTTCCTAAGCTGATAGGAGCCACCTTCCATGGAGATGCCTTTAGCCCTCTCCCCTCTTTCTCCCTTTACGCTTTCCCTTAACTCCAGGCAGCCAATGACTGCCTGATGTGGGGGTGTAACAGCCCAGTAACCTTGCTGTTGGAAAGACCAGCTCTGATATAAAAGCCCCCCAGAGGACCAGGCTGTGACTGAAATTCTCCTGAAACCACATGTATGCCTAATTTCTTCCTCTGTCCTGTCCTGCTTCACACCCTTGCAGGTTTCTTCTGAGAACATTTTTTTAATGAATCACTTATAAAAGAATCTTAGAAGAGCAGTAAGATTAAATGACTTTTAAGATTTCATATTCATCTACATGATTCTGAGTATGAAAAGAAGACATTGCATGGTTGAGTTAAAAATATGAATTTTGAAATCAAACAGAATGGGCTTCAATCCTATCTGTATTACTTACTGGGCCACTTAGGTAATTTTAGCAGTCTCTAATTCTCAATGTTCTCATCCATAATCTGGAAAATAACAGTATCTACCTCAAAGAGTTGTGAGGATTAAAAGAGATAATGCATATACGTTTAGCAATGTCTGGCCACAAAATATGTCCAATAACATTTAATACTTTTATGATCATCATCATCATTATTATATTTTTCCAAATAGAAAATACAAAGGTGCTATTTTTTATTTGTTTTAATGCAATAAGAAAATTGTCTGGGTAAAGTAACAGGAACTGTGAAAAATGCATATGTTTGCATTTTGTTGTGTTTGATGAATATATTTGGTTTCCCCACTGAGGACAGTCTTGTCTATGTACTTTTAGCCAAGTTCATAGCATATGTTTATTAAATATTTATTTCTAAATATAAAGACACATTGGATTGAAAAGGGATTTAAATTCTTCAGTTGTCAGCAAATGATGAGCAAAAGATTAAACTAAACATAATTGAATTTAAGAAGGGAAAAAATCCATGATTTCTGCAAAAAGTGGGGCATTGTAATATGTCTAGTCTTGTTATGCCACACATATGTGACCCATGCAATATAGACTTTGCCATAGTCTAGAAATTACACTCCCCTTCACTACCCAAATAACAAGTCTGATTCTCAAATACACTTGAAATCAGAAGTCCTGCCATTTTACCAGGTTCCCAACTCTAATCATGTCCTAGAATTCTTGAGGAACATGTTCACTTCACATATTCCACAAAGCTGTCTGGATGTAGTTTGCTGTTTCACCCAGCTTTCTAGCTGTGGGCCTTTGCTCCAATGTTCTGCAAGTTACTTACTGGGGTCTTGGGAATGGTTCTTCCTATGCCGCTACTCTCCTCTAAACTACTTTGCTGCAAGTGGGGACACAATTTCATTCCTTAATTTCCCACTGCATAATTGAGCCTGAACTGCAATGTCCATCTCAGGTTACTAAAGATTTATGGATGGGCAAAGAAGAATGAACAGTTAGGGCAGATTGCATTTTCCTAAGATGGCCACACCATCCTACATGTTCTTCATGTGATGTGATTGTATTAGTTTTTTATTGCTGAATAACAATTTACCAAAAATTTAGTGGTTTCAATAATACCCATTTATTATCTCTCACAGTTTCTGTTGATCAGAATCTAGGCATGCCTTAGCTGGGTTTTCTGCTTCAGGATCTCACCAGGTAATAATCAAGGCATTACCTGGACTACATTCTCATTTGGAGGTTTTGGATGGAAAGAAGTCACTTCCAAGCTTGCTCAGGTTTTTCCCTCTATAACTTTCAACTCTAGGCCTGAGCCTGTCAGTTCCTAAAAGCCACCTAGTTACTTGACATATGAACCTATCTACAGGCAGTTTACATCAAAGCAACTTGTTTCTTGAAGGCCAGGAGAACTTTCCTTTCCAGTCTATCAAGATGAGTCTTATATGGCATATCATCCTGGCAGTGACATCACATCATCTTTGCTATATAACATACAAGTCTGCTTAGGCTGTCATAACAAAATACCATAGATTGAGTGACTTTATGACAGAAATTTATTTTCTCACAGTTCTGGAGGCCAGAAGTCCAAGATCAGGGTGGCACTATGGTTGGTTTCCGGTAAGGGCTCTCTTCCTGGCTTTCAGACTGCTACATTTTTGCAGTATTATCATTCCTTGGACACACAAAGAGAGAAAGAAATAGAGATTTCCAGTGTTCTTATAAGTACACTAATCTCATAATGAGTCTCCAACCTCATGATCTAATCATCCCCAATGGACCCGCCTTCAAATACCATCACATTGGGGGTTAGGGTTTCAACATATGAATTTTGAGTGAACAAAAAGATTCATTCCATAAAACATAGCCCAATTAACGGTGCAGCATAACACCACATTTATCTCATAACATAATCTAATCAAGGTTTTTGCCATACTTTACAGTTTAGAGGCAAGTCTCTGGTTCTACTTTCAAGGAGAATGAATTACATAAGTGTGTGTCTCGGTGCAGTCACCTTAAAGTGTATTTGCTATAGTAATGTTTACACACTCTTCCATCAAGAGGCGGGGGCCGGTATGTTTCTTTCTGTTGAATGAATCCTTCTTTTTGACTTGCTTCTGTTATGTAGGATGCAGTGGAAATGACGCTTTGTGACTTCTGAAGTTAGGTCAAAGGAGGTGGTATAATCCTTTACTCCCCTCATCTCAAACTCTTTCTTTCATTCTTTATCTGTTTCAGGACATATGTCCTTGGAATCATGAGCTGCTGTGAAAAAAGCCTATGACCCTGAAGCCACTATGTTGGAGAGACTTAATGGAAAGGCCCATTTGGAGAGGAGAGGCCATCAGTCAGAAGCAGGCATCAACTACCTGACATAGGAGGGTAGCTGTCTTTAGATGATTGCACTTCCTCATCTTTGAGTCTTCCATCTGAGACCGCAGACGTTATAAGGCATAGAAAAGCCACCTCTGTTGTACCCTGTTGGACTTCTTAATCCATAAAACCTAAGAGCAAAATAAATGGCTGCTTTATATTATACATGTTTATTAGTGTGAGAGCAATCTGTTATGTGACCATAGTAACTGAAGCAACAATGAAGAAAATAATTTAAAACTAGCTGATCTACTATACATAATGGTTCCCAGACTCATATACTAAGACTCTCCATAAGAAGTCTTCTACTGGCCATCTGTCTCCTTAGGGTCTGGCTTTCTACCATGTTGTAAAGACTGCTCTACTGCTCAGTTGGAATATCTTGAAGAGATCTTGCCACTTCCTATTTGAATTCAGGCCCTCAGAAAGGAAAAACAGCATCCTAAAGAAGAAAAAAATTCTAGATATTTGAAACATCACTGGCAATGAATACTTAGCCAATGACAGTCCATGGAAAGTGCCTGAGCACCTTAATAATTCACAGCTTTTCATGCCATATGGGTTCCTTGCTTATTTTTACCTAGCCAAACTATGTTTTAAATTGTCTTATCCTAAAGTGAAAATGTGGTCTTCTCCTAGAGATGAGTAGAATCTTTAATGTTTAGAGAAATAGAAAAGCTATTGACTGCTTTAAAAATGGCATGTTTTTTCATTTTTCAAAAATATTAAGGTCAATACTCAAACATAAAACCTAATGATTTCTATTCTATTCAAGAAGGTGGATTTGGAAGAGGTCAAGAGACCATTTCACTTTAAGGCACATTGCTTTTCTTGCTATCAATCTAAGGGTGGGTGACAGGAAGAGATGAGATGTTCAAAAGAGACTTACCCTATTCTATATTAAAGAAAGTAAGAGATGTGAATGGAGCAGTATCCCAAAATTAAGGGGAAGCTGCTGGTTTTGTTGTCATAAAATAAGAAGAATGAAATTCAGCAAACAATCCACATTCTTCAACTAAATTATTCCTGAAGGGCATTTGCTTTTTAAAGCTTTAAACATCAAATATAGTTTTCTGGGAGTTTTTCTTCATTTTTTTAGTAATGGATTGTCACCTTGTCATCTGTCTCTCAGACCACTCTTCTTTAGTAGTTTGTGAAACCAGAGAAAGTATCACTTAAATTATTTGTCCTTGTGTATCTTATTTTCAAAAGCAGGATTCCAGGGGCAGTTGGGAGATAAAAGAAAAAAATCTATATCTCTTATGTTCTATTAAATCACTGGATCACTTGTTTTTGTCAACAATAACACCATCTGGTCTGTTAAAAATTGATTTAATAAATATGCTATGTGACATCAACTGCCCAGACAGATTTGCTCAAGGGACTAATGCCCAGAGTTTGAGAATCTTTGCAGGACTCATTAGTATACATTTGATGGAGGAATGCCCTCTGAATTCCAGGTGCCCATAGGGGATTTGCATATCATAGAGCTGAGGGGTTGTCCTCAGAGAATTACAGTCTGATCCTTTTCCTTAATATTTGTTCCCCTGTAGGGTCACTTGTCAGCCTCCTTTGCTCTTGAAGAGGGTGAGTCATTTTTTTTTCTTTTTTTCTGGAGACGGGGTCTTGCTTTGTCACCCAGGCTGAAGGGGAGTCGTGCAATCACGGCTCACTGCAGCCTTGACCTCTGAGGGCTCAAGTAATCCTCCCACCTCAGCCTCTTGAGCAGCTGAAGTCACAGGTGCGTGCCACCACTCCTGGATCATTTATTTTTATTCTTATTTTTTTGTAGACAGGGTCTCTCTATGTTGCCCAGGCTGAGTCATTTTGATTAAACATGCAGGTCTCTGCTTTAGAGACACCTTTGCATTTTTTTTTGTTAGGAAAACTACTATCCTGAAGATTGTTGATTCTATCATTTATCCAAAAAAATGAGATTCTGATTAGTCCAAACACAGAAGTCCCTGCAGTAACAGCAGGGTTGTGACCTGCATCACAATAAAAATAGCATTCAATATACCTGCTGCAGATAATTTCTAGCAAAGAATTTGTACTTTATAATTCTATTTTCATTTTATCAGTTCGTCTGTGAATTTTATCAATAGCATTTTAATCCTTCCTACTTTCTAAAGGACTAGAGTTTTGACCAATCTGAAGATCTTTGAGGGAAAGGTTCAAGATTTTTGCTAATACAGAGCTGTTTCAGCATGTTAGCCAGGATTAATCAGCCCTTCACAGGAAATGTTTTCTTATTAAAGAGGAAATCTCACCTGTTTTGGTCACTTACCTTGCAAACAAACTTTCTTTTTCATAGGAGAAAAGCCTGGTGTGATTCCAGGGTTTCATTTTCCCTGCTTTCTTTCTTTCCACATGCTTATTTTTTGCTCAATTTTCAATACGCTACTCACAGTCATCTCTTCATTTATTCCTTTTCTAATTTCTCCAGAGGATTAGTTGTTTCCTCTTAAGTTTCACATGTTTCCATATGAGGAACCAATCTTTATTATAATGCTTAACACAATGTCTAATACAATTATCTCTTTATGTGTTTTTTTTTAAATAAAAGTGAACCTAAATATTGAGGACTATGTCTCTTTTTCTCACATTTCTATGCGTCTAGCATAATAGTATACATTTTCTGAATGTTTCTTACATGAAAAAAATTCCTTTGGTGCAAAAGACTCTTGCAGATTATTTGCTTCCTAACACAGAAGTTTTCTTCTTTACAGTGGATTTCCATGCCCTAGTGTGATTCTTTTTGTTTCAGTGTGGTTTGAATTTTTCTGTGTGCATTGTCATTTTCTTATTCAAATATAATTAACTGGCAGCACAGTTAACACTAATAACAAAATGAGTAATTAGTGTGATGTTTGCTAATGATGTTCAGTTTAACTGCCACCCTGCCTTTATTTTTGTTACTAATGGACCTTGTACTTATCATGATTCTCTACTATAAACTCTATCAAGAGAAGTATACCGGAAGAGCAGGCATATACGCCTATACTTTTTACCCAGAGGGAAGGACTAGACTAAGGTTGCACATAGTCTTTTGATGTTCTGTACTGTATTGTATTCTCATCAATATTGTAGACATAAAGTCTGTTCTCATCAAGAAATAATGCAGCAATGGTCTTATGTAGCAATCAAGCATCTCATTAAATTCTGTAGACAATTCTTCAGCAATCAGATGTTTAAAAGAATTTAGGTCTATGTAAAAGATATCAGACACTTTTTACCTCTTATTTTTTTCTCTGTTGCTTCAAATATAGATCTCAAATACAAAGTAATGTACTTTTAAAAAAAGGATTAATGAGATTTAGGGCAAATCTATTGCTAAATTGTGCTCTTTATGTTTTTATATGAAATGGATGCTATTTCTTTAAGAACCAACTTTTATTTTTATTTTGGTTTAAGTTGTAATAGGACTTCCCTCCACATAATTCCTTTTGTTGGGTTTTATATTCCATATCTAAGCAATTTTTATAGCATTTATTATGTTATGAACATGATTGTTTAAATTTTGTTGAAGATGACTTACATATATATATAAATCTATTTTCCATAGCTAGAGTGAACTTCTTTTGTGAAGAGGGATATAGCTTACATTTTTTCATAAAATATAAAAATATTTTATTATATTTCTATTTTCAGCAGTGCTTATCATAATGCCTGCCCAAAGAAAACGTTCAATAAATACTTATTGATCAATTTATTAACTTTAGTTTCCAAGGGGTGTTTCAAGTCATAAGTGCTATTTTAAACTTACACTTTTATTTCTTTTTAATAAATACCATTTAGGATTTTTTTTTTCTGTGAGACCACATAATGTAATGGTTAAGAGCACAGTCTCTAGAGTCAGGCTACTTGGGTTTGAATCCTAATCCTACTATGTTTTGAACAAATTATTTATCTCTCAGTTCTTTAGTTTTCTTATCTAGATAGAACTTACCCATGGAATTGTGAGAATTAAATGAGTTAAAATATATGTAATATATCCACAAAAAGAGCTTGATATATATATATATATATGTGTGTGTGTGTATGTGCCTGTGTATACATATACATACACATATATATGTATATATAAAAAAAGGATTCTGCAACTTCATAGGATTCTGGAACAATAGGGTTGAAAAGAATTTTTGAAACCAGAATGGAAAGAAATAAGAACACGGTCAGAAGGCCTGGTTTGAGCTCAGTTGCGAGACTTCTGAAGTGACTTCATTTACATAACAAACATACTTATAACTTTGCTACTAACTTCAATGGTGTTTTAAGAGTTCAGATAGAAAAATGATAATCAAGATCACACTGTAAACAGTGAAGCACTGTTGGTATGTTTGTGATCATTATTACCTCCACATGAGGAATTAAAGTCTACTTGATGGGCTTTGGCAAGTCACATTCTTTCAGTGCCTGTCTCACATCTGTAAAATGTGGATAATAATAGAACTCAGTTCATAGGACAGCTACAAGGATTAAATGAGTTAACACCTGTAAAAAGTGGAAAAAGTGTTTGTAGCAAATATGGGGTAATAAGGGTTATCTATTTATTATTTTTATGCATATCCAATAAACACTTGTGATCCAGTACTAGTCTGTGTATGTTTATAATGATTCCCGGGGGTATTGTTAAAAATATTGACCTCTTTGCTAAAGGTTTGGATTGGTAGTTTTAGGGTAGATCTGAGAGAATGAATAAGAAAAATGTCTTGGAAAATTTCTTAGCTTGGTTTTCCTACATTGACATACATCTGGTTTTAAACTTCCTTATATCTGCACTGAGATCTATTATGGGTTATGTTAGTTTTCTTGTGTTACATATGCTTTTCCAATATTGCTACATAAACAAAAACAAAGAACGTTCTCCATATAGGCAAAAATATATAAATAACAGGCTTAGCATATATCACACTTGGGGTTTGTTTCTTCTTCCACTAGGGGATTATCTTTTAGTTTTGCATATACCCATTTGCTTCAATAAGGAAGAACCATGTAGCAGAGAAGCACTTAAGACAACTGTGCTTTTTAGTTCAAGGTGGTTTCCTATTCTTTTTTCTCCCCTCTTTTTAATTATAGTTTAAGTTCTAGGGTACATGTGCACAATGTGCAGGTTTGTTACATAGGTATACATGTGCCATGTTGGTGTGCTGCACCTGTTAACTCATCATTTACATTAGGTATTTCTTTTTTTTTATGCTTTAAGTTCTAGGGTACATGTGCACAAGGTGCAGGTTTGTTACATATGTATACATGTGCCAGGTTGGTGTGCTGCACCCATTAACTCGTCATTTACATTAGGTATATCTCCTAATGCTATCCCTCCCCCTCCCACCCCACGACAGGCCCCAGTGTGTGATGTTCCCCTTCCTGTGTCCAAGTGTTCTCATTGTTCAATTCCCACCTATGAGTGAGAACATACGGTGTTTGTTTTTTTGTCCTTGCAATAGTTTGCTGAGAATGATGGTTTCCAGCTTCATCCATGTCCCTACAAAGGACATGAACTCATCCTTTTTTATGGCTGCATAGTATTCCATGGTGTATATGTGCCACATTTTCTTAATCCAGTCTATCATTGATGGACATTTGGATTGGTTCCAAGTCTTTGCTATTGTGAATAGGTGGTTTCCTATTCTATGCTCAAATACATCTTCACAAAGACTAGTCTTGTTTAAACAGTATAAACTCTAAACCCATAATTTTCTAGGTACTAGAAGCCACCAGTTATGAGAGATTTCTTTATGAGTGGCAGGAGGGACTGCTTTATGTTTTTAATAAGAACAGTAAGACTAATTCTCCTCCTTGGAATTGTCTAATTTAAGGCTGTTCTTTCACTTGCCCTCTCAACATTGAATCATTCTTATTCTTAACACTTGAGGAATTTGGTAGAACTCATGACTAGCTTACAAGTCATGGAAACGTGAATATAGAAGTTATTTCTGCTTCAAAAATTACCTTGGTAAAATTATTGGCAGAGGATTTAGCAATACAGTGTTCTTGGATTCATCTTTGTATTCTTGCCATATAGTGAGTGGCTGGTACCTATTAAATCTCCAATAAATATTACATAAAGAATATTAATGGCTTATATTTTGCCAGACATTATGCTAAGCATTTTATTTGCATTATCTCATTTAATCTTCACCCAATAATGTCAGTACTGTTATTAACCTTATTTTACATAGGAAGAAACTGATATATAGAAAGTCTGAGTAACAGGTTCAACTTCTGAGAGCTAGTGAGTGACAGAAACTCTGAGTCTTTTATTATTCCAGAGATTAGCTCTAAAAACCTGCCTTCATTAACCTATAAAGGAGAGATGCATGAATAAATGTTACCAAGTCAAGCTTTGATTTCCTGGTGATATTGTTCCAGGTTAACCCCATTTGGCTCTGATGAGTCTATAATTGGAATCAATCTGCTCTAATTATTGCTTCTGTCTATATACTTTAGATATTATCTCTTCTCCACTGAATTATAAAGGATTCTTATGCAAGGACAATGACTCATTATTTTATTCCCTCACTATCCCTCATGTAGTGGACTCACTCTAGGTTTTTGCTAAAAAATATTGACTACATAGCCAAATGACTAGAACATACTAAAAATAAGCAGCAGATAAACAACAGCTAACTGGCCTCAGTGCTCTCTATTGTAAAGGTTACAGATAT